>NC_000006.12:100676850-100828365 GCF_000001405.40 Homo sapiens
CTGTAAAGAAGTGCTTTTAAAGATCTTAGTAAGTCAGGAATTGAGGTGATTACATTAAACACTTAGGGGTAAGGCATCACTGTGGCATGGTAGGGATTTAGCCATGTAACAGAAGGCATGAGGCTAAATTTCTATGTACTGCTGTAGCAAATTTACCTTCTAATTAAATTTTAATGTTTTGGGTTCTTAATTTCCCATTTTTCAAAAACATGGGAGGAAATGTCTCCCACCATGATGATAATAGATCCCTTGAAATTGCTAGAATGTTAATACCATTTAAGTTCAAAGGCACTTCAAGAAATATGAAGGAATGTACTACTAGCACTAGAGGAATACTCTTAAATTCTAGAGCTCTGAGAAAATATTGAGAAAGATGACCTTATCTTTTGTTATAATATGCACTGTGGAGGGTTTCACTCTTTAAAATCTCTCTTTAGGAGAAGTGAGGGATATAGTTAGGTTGAAGAAATGTTCTTCTATTTTATTTAAAAAAAAAAGACCCCATGCCCTAAGGTCTTCAGAAAGCTCCAGACTGGATTTGATCTGTTTGCTTTTGAACAAATAGAACACAGTGTAGTGAAAATGGTGGACTTTGGAGTCAGACTGGCTCAAATCATGGCCTCACTACTTAATATGAGATTCTCTGTGAAAATTATTTACTTTCTCAGTTTTCGTTTCCTTATCTGTAAAATGGGAATAAGAATCTTAAAGGACAGCACAATGGTACAGGTCAGATGAGAAAATTAAAGTGAAACATCTATTATAATGTCAGTCTCAGAGGAATAAAAGCTAAGAAAAAAAGTAATTCTGGGATACCTACTATCAGACAAATACTCTATGAAAGGCTGGGAATATAAGGGTGAGTAGGACAATGTTCTTAATAAATGTGTGTGCAATTCATTCTTCTTGAAAAAAAAAAGTCTAATAATAGTTGGATCAGGAAAAAAATCAAGTATAATAAAAATATAAAAAAGCTTATAATAAAAATGACTAGGGATTTTCAAGTCTACCCAATTGTATCAAAACTTTCCGTTTCTCTGTTATTTTTCTTCCAGCATAGTGATCTGTGAATTAGTGCTTGGTGACATTGCCTTAAATAAACATCATTTTAAAATATCTCCATATAAATTATTATAATATGCTCTAGAATATTTCATACTATATTTGATTTACACATATGCCATATCAAGGGATAATACCAGCAATATCATAGATTGTAAGGATTGAATGAGTTACATAAAGTAATAAAAACAATGCCTGACACCAGTGACCACTTAATAAATGTTAAGCTTTACAATAACAACAATTAAATAATAAACCGGCATTATTTAAATTAACAATAGTTATCTGAATTGAGATGGATAAAGAAACCAGAAATCCACAAGGTGGCTCTCAAGGCTTGTCTTTTAAACAGCATAGAGTTGTTTTGTACTTCCAAAGAAATGAAACAAGACTTATGAATACCAACTTGACTTTTCAAAGACTCTCATAAATTCATGATTAATAAATAATTGGAAGGACACAAAACTGTACAATCTGTACAATAAGTGTTAGGTAATAAAAGTAAAAAAATAGAAAATGAATAAATTTTGTGTTTCTAAATTGAAAGAGACTCTGATGTTCAAAACAACTGACATCAGCTTAACATAGAATTTAAAATATCAATATAAAATAGTGAAATTTATAGTACAGTCACAATTAAATATATTTTACTAGGATAATAAATATAAAAGGGCATAGCACAATGTCTGGCAGCTAGCAGCTGTTCAGTAACCAATCAGTTAAATCTTACGTTATATATATATATAAAATTTAAAGTTACTATCATTTTATGCCAACAGATTTTTTATTTCATAATTTATTTTCATAGCTTTAAATCAGGAAGTCAGCATACTTTTTCTGCAAAGAAACAGAAAGTAATTTACAGTAGCTATCACAACTACTCTATTTTTCTCCAGTAGTGCAAAAAAAGTCACACAATAAAGAAACTGGTATGTTTATGTTCTGACAAAACTTTAATTACAAAACAGACGGACATCTTTGGCCTTCGGGCCATAATCTGCCCAATCTTCATGTAAATAATTATCTGATATAGTTAAATAAAACCTGATATAAATCTTAAAATACTACCAATACTCAAATTACCTAGAGGAGTACTTCTTAAACTGTAATGTATACAAAATCACCTGAGGATCTAGCTAAAATGTAGATTCTGGTTTGGCGAGTCCGGGTTGGGGCCTAAAGGTCTCCCTTTTTAAAAGGATGCAGGTGACCCCAAGACCTTTTTGTCCTTTGAGCATGTGTACACTGAGTAACAAGCTGTTGACAAACTTTTTGGCTCAGAATTCCTTTACATTGCTTAAAAAAAAAAAAAAAGCCTATTTAGGTTGTATCTGTCAATATTAACCTTAGAAATCAAAACTGAGAAATTTTTAAAAAGTATTAATTCTTTAGAAGTACAATAATAAGCCCATTAGATGTTAACATAGGATATGAAATTTAACTGCATTTTATATTTTAACTATATTTTAAAGAGCAGGACTAGGCACTTCAATTATAACCATATAGAAAGGAATGATAAGTGTTATGTCATAGAGTGAAACCTTTTAATAAAAGATCATTAAGTCAAGAAAAAAGTCAAGATTATAACATCATAAATCTGCAAAATTAACTTCTTGGAAATTGAGACCGTGGATCTTTCACATATAAAATACCCGGGATATGTGGCATGTTACATGCTTTAGTTCTTGTCCTCTTTGTTTCTTACCTGTTTTTCTGCAAGTACATAGTCATGTCCTTGGGTAGGAAAAAAGAAGGGAATATGGCCACAATTTTTTGCTCTTTCTATTAGAGACATAGCTGTTCTTACAGTGGCATTTCGAGCATGTACAAACACCATCACCTGAAAAAAAGGAAAGCAGTTTATTTAATATTCCAATTAATTAAATTACAGCTTAATAGTAGCCTGGATATCATTCCATATAAACAACTATTAATTTCTCAAAACATAATCACAAATTTACGAATTCTCCAACATATCCCTATTTTAGAACAAAGTATATATAGGAAAAAGACAAGTTAAATAAAATTTAGCTTACAAGTTGATAGAAGTTTGTGGAGTCTATAAAATTTGGAGTTTAATTTGTATGTTTCTCTTTTGAATACATAATTCATTATCATAGTCATGTATTATAGAGACAGCATACAAAAATATTGAGAGCTTTCTCATTGGAAGATTACTACCATCAGTTAAATTTCCAGTTCCATAAAGATGTTTCAAGAAATTGAAAACAATAGAGAAAACTCTTCCTTGGACAAAATCATGTCTAAGAACAATCACTTAAAATACAAAGGTTAGGGGACTTCTGGAGATAAAAATGCTTCTGTAGAAGTACCTAGAATTCTCTGTGCAAGCCTTCCTGTGGAATTATTCATGAAGTGACTGGGGATATCTGAACTAGGGGGAAGGTGTGTGCCTGAATGCTGTGTCAAGAAGTGGGGAAAAAATGCATCTTCAGGGACAGTCACCAGGCACGTGTGAATACAACTGAAGAGAATAAGGGAGTGTTTAGCAGCCTGCCTTTGCTCCCTGTCAGTACCTGCCTTCTTTCCTCTGTAAGTTTCTTCTTTGGCCTCTACCTTACATCAGAATCAGCTCAACCCCAGCATTCCCAAAGAGCCATTAGTATGATAAAAATTATTTTCTCATATAGACTACTGCTCTTTTTCAATTTTATCTGGTGTGAATAAAAGCAACTTTACATTGTTAACAATCTGGAATATACAATCTAAAGATAGTATGTGTGGGTGCAGTAAATGACTTAAAGACAAGTTCCCCTAGCCCCTGCTTTCAACTAAATTCACACATCTAAATCTCTGGAATCACTAAGGTATTCTGCTTAGGCCTGAAGCAACTTGGATGTCCTAATCCTTGCACCTCTTCTCAATATCTCCCCTATACTCCTCTGTTAGTTACATTTTTCTGGAAGTTAAAACTTTGATGTTTTTTGCAGGCTATACATTTAGGAGGATATTCAAGAATTGTATCTAGTCAGGGAATCGATAGGCTCATGTGAGCTGACCTAAGTAAAAGAGAGGATCATTTTGAGGACTAACAGAAATGAAAAGGGGAATGAGGTCTGGGATTTGACCAGAAAGGAGACAGGGTGACACAAAGACATCTATACTTCTATAGAGGTATCTCTATATTTAAGCCATAGTAATCTTATGTCTATAAACTTGTCAAGGTAAGTGTTCCACATATGAGATGCTTATTAAAATTCACAGTAAAATCTCAGATAACAATCATTCAAGAAACTGGAATGCTTAAATAACTAATACTATTTTAGGTACATTCAAAGTAAAGGAGAACAGATAATTTGTAGAAGATAAGAAGTTCCTCAAAACAAAGCAAAACAAAAAAACCCAAAATGTTTACAGAAAAACAAAAAGCACTGCAAGTCATCAGGAGAAATTTAATCAGCTAATTAGTTACCAAGGGCATAAATCTTGAGATTTCATACTTTATCAGAGCTCTAACTTATTTACTGATACTAATAGGTTTTGAAAGGAAATATGATCATAAGAACATTTTAAGGCTGGGCGTGGTGGCTCACACCTGTAATCCCAGCACTTTGGGAGGTCAAGGTGGGTGGATCACAAGGTCAAGAGATTGAGACCATCCTGGCCAACATGGTGAAACCCCGTCTCTACTAAAAATACAAAAATTAGCGGGGCGTGGTGGTGCGTGCCTGTAATCTCAGCTACTCAGGAGGCTGAGGCAGGAGAATCGCTTGAACCTGGGAGGCAGAGGTTGCAGTGAGCCGGGATTACGCCACTGCACTCCAGCCTGGCAACAGAGCGAGACTCCGTCTCAAAAAAAAAAAAAAAAAAAAAAGAAAAGAATATTTTAAAAAGAGTACACTAATAGAATTTATTTCAGAAAGTTTGCAGGTACTGGGACATTCTGTTTTCCTAATTTTTCAACTAAAGAAAACAAATCTTTTGATTTTTGATAGGCTCTCTAGCTTTCATGGGCAAACATCTTTACTTCATAGGATGTTAAGAACTGCCACATAGGTTCAAATTGTGATATTTTCGTAATGACTGATAAACACTATTTAATGCTAAGATAGAAAATTCTGTTATAATAATGCCCTGCTGAAGATTCATCAGTTCAGAATTTGTCCAGTTCTATCATTCTATCTCTTGCAAATGGTAGGGACATTTCCATTGTAAGTTTCTTTTTAAAGAGCAAGGCAAATTTTTTTTCTCTAATATAAAAATAAATTTTACCACCCAGAAAACCTCATTAACCCCCAAATTAAATTGTAAGAAAATCGGAATTAAAATGAAGTTTTTTGTAATTTATTTATTCATTCATTCATTCATATGTTTCTAAACATGCATTAACTACCAAGTCCTGATAAAACTGCCATGAAAACGAGAGACAACGCCCCTGCCCTCATGGAGATGAGAATCTATTATGATGAATTAAATAATCACAAAATATTTTTTACTTGATAAATATTTACTAGGCATGTATGTGTAAAACAGAGTTAAAAAATAGTGATGAAAATAGATAAGCTGTGGTCTCTTCCATTAAAAACCTGCACAATTTAAGGAGAAAGATAAAATTGTACACATAACTTAGGCAGTTGAACCAAAGAGAAGATAACATGTGGATAACGTGGGAACCCTAAACATGGAGCTACTTGGTTTTCTGCATTCATCCATCCCAAGATATTTATGCAGTTCCTACTATGTGCCAAATACTGTACCAAGTGCTTAGTACAGCACCAGGAATACTATGATAACTATGTTTCAAAGCTCTAAATTCATACATTACTGTTACGGGGAGAAAAATCCTCTGATAATCATTCCTATCATTCCAAGATTAAAGTTGCATAAAGGAGGCTACAGTTGTATTTGGAATATTTAATTTTGTTATTTTTAGTGTGTTAGCTTGAAGGAGTACATTCTCTTCTAAGGTTTCTCACAGTGAGACCTAGGGACTATTACATCTGAATCACTGCTGCTGCTTGTTAAAATAGATTTCTGGGTCCTCCCTTAAAGCCAGCTGAGTAAGGATATCTAAGGGAGGGGTCTAGAAATTGAATTATTAACAACTACTGAAATGATCACAGCGTTATTGTGTGAAATTGGTTAATAATTACTACCAACTTAATTTTCCCCTCTGAAGCTGAAAGAGGATTAAAAGGTAAAATAAATAAAACCACCACTACAAAGATGTTTTGAGAACCCCCCAATAATATCTTTATTTACCTATACATATGAAATATCAGGAAATTTTAAGGTATTTTATATAACTAATAAGCCCCAACATTATTTTCCAGATGGGGGTTTTATAATGCTACCAGATTTCTATTCTCCATAATTCAAATGCCACATTATGTAAATCCTGTTGAATTAGCAGATATGGAGAACATAAGGGAAAACAGAATACAACCTAAATCTTCATTAATTATTTCAGTCTTACTTGTCAACTTTTCATTTTGCAAATCATTTTCTACTGCAGCCAAGAGAAATATTAGTTACAATTTAAAGTAACAATTTCATTTTATTAAGGAATCCATCATGTCGTGTTAAGTAAAATAAACCCTTTTTTTTAATTAAAAATTTCATTGAAGTCATTACAAGGTTTTGGGTCTCTATAAACACACCTGATTTTATGGTTTGCTAATTTGGTTAATTAACTTAAATAGACTCATATGAAAATCACAAGTAATAGGACAGCATTGTTTCATTTGACAGAAATAACTCCAAATTAATATTAGAAACACTTTTTGGTAACTGAGCAACAGTTAAATTGGTGTGTGTCATTAAAATAAGAACAGAATAGTAAGATTAAGTCAATAATGATGGCAAATTCAGATTTTTATAAAACTTTATGCTTTTATTTGAGTTTTTTAGGTTATGCATTTAAAAATATTTTATATACTATTTTTAGTTTCAAAAGCCATTTCTTCATATTGTTTTATTTTTATTATGGAAAAGTTCACATAGAAACAAAAGTAGGCAGAATGTGGTCATAAACTGCAAAAGCCTTTTATATTTAAAATACATCATGGAATCATTCCCATACTTGGGAAAAAAAAGTATGTAAATTTGAGTTCTGGTCCTGTTATTTGACTTGTCAAAGAAAGTGTTCTTCACATTGAGATGCTGATTAAAATTAATAAAGGAGTAAAAGCTCAGAAAATAATGATTCAGAAAACTGGAATGCTTAAGTAACACATACTGTTTCAGGGTGTATTCAAAGGAAAGAAGGACATATTATTTGAAAAAGATCTGAAAATTCTTCTTTGGAGTACTGCTAAATATCAGTGTGAGTTAGAATAAATTGTTTAATCTCTTCAATTCTTATTTCCCCCAGAACACAGATAAAGAGTTACAATGTATCACAGGATTACTATAAGAATCAAAGGATACAATGTAAGGGAAAACACTGTGTTTAGTAAAATGGTGGCTCTAAAATTTTAGAAAGCTTCAAAATCACCTGGCAGGCTTGTTAAAAACACAGATTGCTGCTGTTTCCCCCAATCCCCTTCCTGACTATATAGGTCTGGGGCAAGCCACGAAACTGCATTTCTAAGGAGTTCAAAGATGCTAATGTTATTGTCCAGAAACTTTGAGAACCTCTGTCATAGCTGGTAAGTATTAGCACCATTATTAGGTCGAATAAACATAAACAAAATTAATTTTGCCTAAAAGATTAAACAGACCAGTATACCACTGTTATACATTGACAACTATGCACTTGTTTATTACTCGTTTACATGCATATGTGCGTGTGTGTATGTGTATTTAACATCACACAAAACAATTTAAAACACTTCCCCTTTAGCAACCTTTTTAAGGGGGTTGTGAAAGATGAACTAGGAATAAAAAAATCGGTAGGAATATTTAATGTGAAATCTTGAATCAAACTCTTTTTTTTTTTTTTTTTTTTTTGAGATGGAGTCTCCCTCTGTCACCCAGGCTGGAATGCAGTGGCGCGATCTCGGCTCACTGCAAACTCCGCCTCCCGGGTTGACACCATTCTCCTGCCTCAGCCTCCAGAGTAGCTGGGACTACAGGCACCCGCCACCACGCCCGGCTAATTTTTTTGTATTTTTAGTAGAGACAGGGTTTCACCGTATTAGCCAGGATGGTCTCGATCTCCTGACCTCGTGATCCGCCAGCCTCGGCCTCCCAAAGTGCTGGGATTACAGGCGTGAGCCACCATGCGCGGCCAAATCAAACCCTCTTTTCTAGGAATACTGCTAAGAAGTGAAGCAGAATGGATATATCTGAAAAAGATACAACAATATGGCAGATAGATGTCCCACAGAAAAAATGTTGCTGAGAAATTTTGTTTTACATTATGTGGCACATATGGCATTGGCTCTTGCAAAAGCTGAGGCTTGGGGTAGGGAGGGTCATGTCCTGGCAGTTTATGTTTTCATTCTAGCCATCACAGCCACTTATCTGTCTTGCTCTCAGTTCTTCTCGACTTTCTTAACCCAGGCTCTTCAAGAGAATTAAGCCCTAAAGACCTACATAAATAGTGATTTAAAAGTGTGTGGTTCCCTGATCAGCAGCATCAGCAGCAGCAGCAGTGTCCCTGAGTCAGAAACTCTGAGGGTGGGGCCCAGCCATTTGTTTTAACAAGCCCTCCAGGTTATTCTGATGCAAGTTAAAATAGGAGAATCCTGTATTAAGGCATCCATCATAAGTTAAAAAAATTATTAGCTTTTCCTCTGTGCATTTACAATAGTTCTGGCAAATACCATCTTCTGAAGAAGTGGGAAAACAGTGTTGTATGGTCTGAATGGGAATGCCACTACAGATATATTTCAGATATATTTATTTATATCCCATGACAGCATGTAGGCACAGAATAGTTTCTGCTGCTGTGATTACATTACCACATTTGTATTATCAGGTAGATACAATTTTAAAAGGTTTCATTGTGCATGCCGTAGATCCAAGAATCATCCATAGTTAGACACTACAAGTCACTACAGAGTTTTTGTTTTAGATCACAGTGCGAGCCAGCTGAAGACACTCAAGTCATCTGACCACATTCTTATTCTTCTAGTACTTCCTCTATCAAATAACTTTCCATATTTAGTTATCTGACTTCTCAATAGTGAGCAAAGAGCCTGGCATACAGCAAATACTCAATGTGTCTTAAGTAAATATAACACATTGAGCCCAATCAAACACACTAGCCCATCACAGCTAATAATGGCAATTTCTGCTTTTTAAAAATAATTTTTGTCTTTTATGTATACTAAAAACATGGGGTTGTTGTGAGAAATGAGACAATATAAACAAAGCATTTACAATAGTGTGTGGTACATAGTAAGTGATCAACAAATGTTAGCAGTTGTTTATTAGAGTATAATTTTGCTCCTTATAATATACTGTATTAATTTTTTGATAGGGTAATATATTTACATAGTTCAAAATTAGAAAGTATAAAAATGTGCACAATGTCTCTACCACCCTTCCCTCTAACCTAGTAGCCACTATGTTTCTTGTGTGTCCTTTGAGAGTTTATGCACATATTTAAACAACTACAAATTCACAATTTTAATCCCTTTTCACCATATGGTAGTAGATTATACACACTGTTTTTCCTTTTTCACTGAACCATATTATCTTGAAGATCTCACATCAGTATAGTTTTCTCATTTATATTTTACAGTTGCATAGTATTCCATTACATAGAAACACCAAAACTTATTTATAATAACTAGTCCTTGTTTGATGGGCATTTATGTTGTTTCCAATCTTTTGTTATTAAAAGCAATGTAATAAATACAGAGTGTATACAGAGTATAACTCTGTACACAAGTCATTTTACATGTTTGTGAATATATCTGTTGGATACATTCATAGAAGTAGAATAGTTAAGTCAAAGTATATAAGACTATTTATTGAACTATGTCCCTATTCTGAATATAATCTGTTTAATTTTGGGGCTTTATTCTTTTCTTATCAATTTGTTGGTCCTTTTTGTATATGAAAGATAGTACACTTTGCTCCTTTTTCTGTATTGTGAATATTGTGTCCTAGTCTGTGCTTTATCTTTTGATTTTTACTTTTGGTATCTCTTCAATACAGACGTAGTTCATTTTTTCTGTACTTAAATCTCTCTCTCTCTCTCTCTCTCTCACACACACACACACACACACACACACACACACAGACCTGATCTCACACATACACACAGAGATGTCCATAATATACTGCTAAGTGAAAAAATATCAATTGAAGAAAAATTTCCATAATATTATCCTGAGTGTGTTGTTATATTCTATAGAGGTGTATGTGAATGTATATGTTTGAAAACAGAGATATGGACACCCTCCAAATTAGTTATCTCACAAAATGAAAACGGGATTTGGTGGGGGATGGGGGAAACAGAATTAAAAAAACAATTTTTTCTTTGTATGTCTTGTATCGTTTGTCTTACCCATTGAAGCAAATCTTTAATAGTTTTTTGTTTGTTTGTTTTTTGAGACAGTGTCTCGCTCTGTCGCCAGGCTGGAGTGCAGTGGCGTGATCTCAGCCCACTGCAACCTCCACCTCCCGGGTTCAAGAGATTCTCCTGCCTCAGCCTCCCGAGTAGCTGGGACTACAGGTGCGCACCACCATGCCTGGCTAAATAGTTTTTATAATTAAATATATAAATTATTTTGAACCGGAGAAATAATTGATAACAATGAGGTTATAATAATATATTCATAATATACTATGGTAATAAGATAGTATATTTGCTATGGTTATTTTACTGCTATGGGTTTTATGGTAAAAAGCCTAAAAAAACACATATTTAGCAATGCACTTAAAAGGGTGATGATAAAACTTGTGGTCTAAGTGATGAATTTATATTTTAGTTTACCTGGAAATGCTTTAGGAAGAAAAAAGAGACATGACCTAGCAGAAGAAATCAACAGCAGTTCAAGGGAAAGTATCCATATGTTCAAACAGAGAAGAGAGCAAATTCATATGGCGGTCAATACAGACTTTTTGTAGAAATGGACATGTGGACAAAAATAATACCACCTGAAAAGGTAAAACATAACCTCATAAAAAATTATATACTAAGATAAAGGAAATCATTCATTTCAAGGCTCAGAAAAAAAAAAACCTGATACTACTAAAAGAAATACCTGAAAAATTATTTTTAAGTTAGAGAAGTATTTTAAACTTAACAGAGAAAGGCCATCATGGTTTAAAACAATATTGATTTTAATAAAGGAATACATATCACATGGTCAAAAAATATGGCTTGAAGAAATATTTTTAAAAAGTACGCAAACCATGGAAAACACCTAAAGACAATCTTGGAATTGTAATTGATAGGACAGAAGACAGGATAATTTTAAAGTGGTGGAGTTATTAAAAAAAAAAAACAACAACAGGAACTCTTGATTCTTTTATTAAAAATGAAGGTGAGCAAGAAAGCATTTAGATATGTATATCTGAGTAAACTGAGTATAAATATTTGAGATAGATCTTATGAAAAAATCTAAGATTTAAACATTTTAAAATATAGTTTTGTGGCTACTGAATTACTTGAAAAGTTTATACATTTTTCATAAAATTTCATTTAAGAAATAAAATAGAAACTCTCATACCTACGTGGAAGAGATGAACATTACTATTACGATTAAGTAGTTTTTCCTGGCTGCTTCCAGATACAAGTGCTGTGATGCCTTATCCTTTTGGGCATCCAAATAATTCAGATGCGTCTCTCTTAAGTGTTTATCACTGCCTATCTTTTATTTTTGACTATTTTTGTGCTTGACTTAGCTCCTCTGCTAGTCTGTGATCATCCAACAATTACGTGACAGGCACTGCGGACATATAACGGGCTCGCCTAGCACTGGTCCCTGTGCTTCTGGAGCTTATATCTAATTATATGGTAAAGGATTGGAGTCTAGGAAGATGATGAACACAGAAGCCACCATTCATTACATGAACAACTATAGGAGGAAGTAACCAAAAATCAATAAATACAATAATGTAGAAATTAACTAGGATCCTCCCTCTCAAAGATGACAAAGTACTTGATTTTAAAGGTCATAACACTCTAAAGTTCTTCATTATTGGCCCTTTGGGTGTTATCTCTCTGAACTCTTCCTGTTGTTTAAAACCTTCATGCATTTGTATATTTCCAGGACGTTAGCCATGTTTTTCACTTAGTCCTCCTGCTGACTGCATCTGTGTAAATTCTATAAACCTACAAAGCCCAGTTCTAGTGATCCTTCTCCAATCTCGCCAGGGAAAATTAATCACTCCCATCACACGTTGTTCATACTTGCACTCTGTGTAATCATAAGCTTACATAGCTCACCCCAATGTTAAGACTAATCATAAAAGACACCATTTATTGGGTCATACTACGTGCTAGGTCCATTACTAGGTACAATACACGTTATCTTACTGTTAACCACATAGCGAGGTAGGTAATTGTATTAGTATTTTACAGAAGAGAAAACTAAAGCTCAGACCATTTTAATAATTTGCCACTCATTCAGAAGAATAGGGAGTTCATCTCAGATTTGCCATTTCAAAGCCTACTTTCTTTCCATCAAGTTATATCTCTTCCTTGAATGCTGCCTGAGGGCAGAGCTTACATTTTGCTAATTTTGAGGTCTACCTACTACCCTTCCTGCTATCATCCAATCAGTGGATGCTCAATAAATATTGCTGAAATTACAATGTTAAAAATGGTCAGTTTTCACAAAGACCACATATTTTTCAGCAGAGATTTGAATTTAAAAGTTTATAAATTATAATAGCTTGTAGGCTGAGTTAATACTTTCCATTCACACCTTTATTAAAATATGAGGTAACAAGCAAACTTCCAATTACTCAACCAAATAATTTTCATGGATAGTTTTATTTAAATTTAACAGCAGACCTCCCATTGCTATTTATTTAATCAGTTAAAGTTGCTGCTGATTAGTTTTTTGATAGTGTTATAGAAATACATGTATGCGTATTTTAGTGCTATTAAAAGGTGTAAAATATGTGATTTAAGAAATAAATTACTTATAAGCTATTCTGAAAGATTAGCTTATAAGAAAAAAAGATATAAAAATTCTGGACTTTAAGGTCAAAATTGGCTTCTAAATCTAAGCTACCTACATTAAAAATTAATCAAATGTATTAACCAAAATACAGTCTTCCCTTGGTATCCATGGGAGACTGGTTTCAGAACCCCTTGTGGATACCAAATGCTTAAGACCCTTATATAAAATGGTGTAGTATTTGCATTTAACCTATGCACATCCTTCTGTATACTTTATATCATATCTTGATAATACCTAATACAATGTAAATGCTTTGTAGATTGTTATTATACTGTATTGTTTAGGGGATAATGACAAGAAAAAAAGTCTACGTGTCCAGTACAGATGCAACCATTCTTTTTTTCCTCAAATATTTTCCATGTGAAGTTGTTGAATCCACAAATGTAGAACCCATGAATATGGAGAGCCAACTGTAATGTACTACTGAACAAGAATAAAGGAAGCATCCTTACTTTGGATAAAGGTAAAAAAATTGACACTACTACATTTGGATTACAACAATAAAACTATAATTTACTAAAAATAGGGCTAAAAATGATAAATGTTAAAATCCTCTATTAATCATGAGTGTATCAATTCGCATTTAACAACCAGCACTTATTATTAGATATTCCTGGCAACCAATCAAATTACTAAAGCACAAGAAGACATAGGTAAACATTTATTAGATATGCCATGAAAATATAAGCTACCTCAAATAGGGTTAATTTATGCTGCCCTAGCTATATAAGACTGTATAATTCACTGACTAGTCTTCATTCATGAAGTTATGTAAATAAGCCAAGGAAAGTAATCCACAATAGTGAGATGTGGTTCCACAGCTCCAAGCTATGTAATAGATCCACACTTGGCAGTTCAGAGCCAGCTCAGGACTCTCATGCAGCTCTTCTCAAGAAACCCAAGCTTTTAAGTGATAAATAGTTTCAGGTTATTATTACTGAATTATATACAGAACACTACTCTGAATGTGAAACATTCCTTATAAATTTCACTTAAAAATCACTTTAATATTTATCAGCTTGTATGTTTGAGTTGAGGAGAGCTTTAACTGCTATATTTTATTAAAAGAAATCAACAATACTTTACATCTCCTAAAATCTAAAAGATATCTGTATTAAAAAGTATAATTTAAAAAACCAGAGGACTAAGTGTACATTATGTACCATGACAGCAAAAATACAAGTAGTCATATTTCTAAGCCAACTATAAAAAATATTATCTTACAATCAATTCACCAATATAGCAAGACATTGTACAATATATTTAGAAACATAAGACATATTTCAGCAGTCCCTGAAATACTAGGACCCCAGAAAATACAACAAAACGTATAGTTTATTAAGTATAAAATTTTAAAACAGTAAATATTTTGAATGCATTTCTCCTTTACTGTAAATTTTTTCTTTAATGAAAACAATGTTTTCTTAAGCATATGTATTTTTTGGAGGTAAAATAATTTATGTCATCCAACTGATGCTTGAATAAATTTTCTATACATTCTTAATATGCATTCAATTAATCTGAGATATGAATTCATTTTTGCAACTTATATTTATAAACATGAATAACTTAATACTATAATGCTATAAATAAATGTGTATTTTACACCTTAACATTTTCTTGAACATAGACTATGTTATAATTTTTATTTGGTATTTATAACATACAGAAGAAAATAAAGATAATCATACACGTTAATTTTACTTGCTCATAATTACTTATACAAATTTAATATAAATCAATTGTTTTTGTTTTAGAAAAATTTTTTAGCAATCTAGACTAACTTATCAAATTCTTACCTGATGCCAGACTAATCTATATAACATATAGACTTGTGCTGAATATCAGCAGTGTTTAAGAATCAAGTAGACCTATGTTCAAATCATAGCTCAGCATTTATATACTAGATAAACTTGGGCAAGTTCACCCGCACTTCAATTTTTATCTGTAAGATGGAGATAACAGTACCTGCCTTACAAGGGTGCTGTGGGAACAACAAACAATAATTACAAAGTACTAGGAAGACACCTGGCACATGGAAGTGATCTATTTGGTAGGCCAACGTTTAGTTGTTTTACAGAAGTTTTTCTAACATTCACCCAGATTTATTTGTTAAACTTCCCATTCATTGGGACCAAGACCAATACTGATCTACTTGTGGCAAGAGGAAAGCAAAACTGAACTACTATTTACATATAACAATTCTTCAAATATTTGGAAACTGCTATCATATCTCTGGTATGACTTTCTCTTTCTTGAACTAAACATCACCAGTTCTCAATGCTGTTTTTCATAAATGATGGTTTTTCATGGTTTGACACTATATGAGTTCTATGTACTTTATACTTCTTCAATACTAAAAAGTATACGTTCAAGCAAGATAATTTGCTGAAGAAATTTTTTTAAAAATTTATAAATGCTTCACGTCTAAATTGTTCTTAGCTTGATAATATGGTTTAATATGATTATATTTTCAAAAATATATGAGCTTGAACATCAACTCCAGTTAGAAACTTGAAAAAAACTTTAGTAACTTAAAATTATCATGAAACTACAGATCTTTCACCCACACTATTGAAAATTTCCTTAGGCCTCAGATTTTCTAGTTGGAATTTTAAAAATTATTCTTTTCTTTTTTTCTTTTGTTCCAATTGGAATTTATAAACATATTCTCTGAATTGTTTTCTCTCTTTAGGGCATTAAGTGGTTAAATGAAGATGTCAGTTTTGTGGTGGGAAAAAACTTTGAAATGGAAGTGAAGAAGCCAAGGTTCTATTCTCAATTCCAAAGCATAAGCATATTTCACTTTGGGCATAGTATTAGGCTTAGTTTTCTCATCTGTAAATAAGCAGTTGGACTAGGAGAACTTGATGATGCTTTAGAAGATTTAATGACAAGATCAACATAATGATGATCTATTAAATACCATCTTTGAAATACTTTTTTTATAAAATAAAATTATTAGGGACCTGATCAGAAGATGTTAAAAATATGATTTAATAAATATAACCTACAATTTAAGGAAAAAATTAGAATATTATCCATTTTAACTTTTAAGTAAGTAATATAACTCAACAGTATTTTGGCAATGATTCAAATTATAAAGACAGAATATATAATGATATGAATTTAAGATACATATATATGATGACTATAGAGTATATCTTCTTTATATCACATTTGATTATAAGTTTTTGATACACTCATAACTGTTATTTATGTTGAAAGCATTTAAATTGAAAACTTGATATTGTTACAGGTATTTATATAAAAGCATTTAGCCAAACCAACAAACTGAGGTGTTCAAGTTTTGGTCTGTATAGTGAAGGTAGTATGAATTGTGAGAATCTCCATATGCAAGGAGTCCACAATCACTGAGAAAAAATAACAAAACTGAGGGTGGAAAGGCTGTGGGAAAAAAAAAAAGCTTTCAAACTCAGTGCTGGTTTGTAGAGTTGGGGCAGCATTTTCAGTTACAGGTCTGTCTTATTATATATGCAAATACTTGACTTTATACCTGATTTGAGAAAATGGAGGAATCACAGTTGTTCAATGAATAAGACATTATATTTGAAACCATATAGTACACCCAATCAGTATTCACTTAGTATAGACAATTAGTGTTCAAGCTGGGATTTTAGGACCAAAAGGGAAAACTGCTGATTTGCTTGGTCCAATGCATACATGACAAAGTAGATGACCAAATTCCATTTCTGTAACAAAAATGAAATAGATACTCCATATGTGAAATATGTCTACTAAGTGTCACCACAGAACAGAAATTATTAATCTTTATGTAAATTATGAGAAACTAATGCTGTAAGGAAGCAGTTTAAAAATTTTTTTTAGCTGTGGAATTTGTTCTTACAACAAACTCTTGTAGCAGCTCAATATATTAAAAATAAATAAATAAACAAAAAGATTAAAGCGACTGAAGTGGATCTGAGAGAAATCCACATCTCTTTTCTCACTTCCAAACAGCACACTTCTCCCTACTCCTAACCTCATGACAGCAATTCCTGTGACACCTCAGAGCAACCTGAAGCAGTCTAAATATTACAGGTATAGGAGGAAATCTTCCAGTGGAAAGGGACTGTGGAAAATTATATTTGCTCTTGGATAAAAGTTTGAAAATTCTAAAATCTCATCATCCCTTTCATTTTCCTGAATAATATTTTTGGGAAAAAAATTGGTAAAAATTTCTATTTAAAAATAAAACAGTCCAGGTAGGTGGCTCCTGCCTTTAATCCCAGCACTTTGGGAGGCCTAGGCTGGAGGGTCACTTGAGGTCAGGAGTTTGAGATTAGCCTGGGCAACAAAGGGAGACCCCATCTCTAGAATAAATTAAAAAAAAAAAAAAAGCTGGGCACAGTGGCACATGTCTGTAGTCCCAGCTACTTGGGAGGCTGAGATGGGAAGTGGCTTGAAGCCCAGGAGTTTGAGACAGCAGTGAGACAGCAGTGAGCTATGATCACACTACTACACTCTAGCCTGGGTGACAGAGGAAGGCTCAATCTCAATCAATCAATCAAAGATAAAACAGTTTCATTGTTTCTAAAGAGTTTATAAAACCATTCCCTACTAAAGAGACTAGGTGTGTTTGCAGAAATAGTTAATTCCAAGTCTGAGAAGTGGAAAGTACAAAATTAGATCTTAGAAGATCCTATTGTGCAAAATGGTAAAAACCAGAAGCTAGCTTGAAGGGGCTTCCACTGGCCAAATTTGGGCCAATATTATCTTCAAAGTAAATTGTATAGTGATAGATTGTAACACTTTCAAGATGTCCACAGAGTAAATTATAAAAGTCCACAGAGATATAAATTAATAAATAGGGGAAAGGAAGCTATTCCATACATATAGTGGGATGAAGGAAATGATGGAGTTAGAAAATCATCAAAAGATGCTAAAATGAATGGGTAAAAGTTTGATGAGGGGCACTATATATTTAGTCACACAAGTATCTCCTCCCTTATTAGAAACAAAGGGGAAAATAATAACTTTATATGGAGAAACTTAGAGGAAACAACCTTTAACAAGTGATAAAAATGAATGTCAGCAATACTGGACAAATCCAATAACATTTACTACCTGGTGTCAAGTACTAAGACATAACTTCACTTCTGTTGTATTATTGTTACAAAGCCAATAGGGCTTAATCATGAAAAAACTTTAGACAAACTCAAATTGGGAGTCATTTTACAAAATAATTGATATACGCTCTTTGAAAAATGTCAAAGTCAAATCCAGAAAGACAAAATAAGGTCAAAGAACTGTTCTAAATTAAAGGAAACTAAACGGACATGATAAATTAATGCAATATGCAATCTTGGACAGGGATCTTGAACCAGAAAAAAAATTATCTATAAAAGACATTATTATTCCTTATTAATACAGATGCAAAAATCATCAACAAAATACTAGCAAGTTTAGTAGACCCTGTGTGTCCCTTCCAGACACCTTGGGTCTTGTTGGAAGGTAATCCTCCCTGAAATTTCTGGTGTTCCTACACGTCCAGGGCCTTCTGAGTAATAGAAACTAAAGTGCTAAACAGACAGAGAATGTCTTCATTTCCCCAGAGCCATTTTCTCCAATTCAAAGGGTAACAAAAGCCTAGAGACTCCTTTCTTATCTCCCAAGGAGTCAACTGCTTACTTTCCAAGATATAGGCCTTCCTTTCCTTCCTCAAGGGAGTCTGGTAACCATAGTAAAAGATAAGGTCCCTGCATGGCCAATTGGTCTACTTTTTTTCTCTCCTCTCTTTCTCTCTCCAGAGGAGAGGATGAACAGATGTGCCCATAGCTCCTATACAAGCTCAGAGTTTCATAATTTTGGAGTACCTCTCCTGTGGTGCAACCCATGCACATGCAGTAGCTGGCTCTCGCCATGTAGATAGACCAGTGGAGAGTTAGGGAGAAGCAACACGGTCTGTACCCTGACCCAGGTGTCAAAGTTAGCCTATGGCAGGCTACCTTTTAGTATGCAGGTAGGGCAACATCTTAGACACTTCACAGTTTCAGACTTATTTAACAGGTCTCTGACTGTATTTCTGGAGCAGTTACTAATTTAAATGATGGGCTATTTAGAAATGCCCACTTTATTTACCATAATATAGTGATAGCTACATTTCTCATCTACTCAATTATAAAACAAAGAAAAAAGGAGATGAGATCTAAGACTATGATGTTATTCTCTTAAAAACAGAACATTATTTTACAATATTAAATATAGACACATAATTTTTCTTTCCATCCCCTCTCACTTAAATATGCTACTATGAAAACAAACAAAAAATTGATAAAAATGACAGCTACAGATAAAGACAGTACAAATGTATAATGGTTAATCATATTTGAATATTTATCTCCTTTTTTTCACATTGAGAAAATACATGGATAATTGTATCAGATTTCGTTGGCACATAAAATTTCATATTCGGCTTTAATAAAAAATACTCTGTTCAATTTTATCAAATGATTTCTCTAAAAATGTAGTCAACAAATGTTTATGGTAGTAACCTAACTTATTAACTATATTTACCAATGGCTTAAGTCCAAATATCAGGTGGAAAGAAGCTAATAAGGAGATTCAATACATCATTCTCTAGAATGAAATAAATAGCTGTCAAATAAACTTCTAATAATACAATGTAAAATACTCCCAATGGATGTTTAGAGAATTTTCTACAACTTTATAAAGACAGAAAAATGACTGCAAGCAAACATTATTTTAGCATGACTAAAGGCTATACTTAAACAACAATAAATTAATTCAAATAAATAGTATAAAATAAACATGTATACAAGTTAGGTTTCATTTTTGCCAAAATAAATAAAATTAACGAAAGTATGATGTATTTCACAGAAGTGAATATTTTAAAATAGGTTCAAAGGTCCTTTTATATTATTTAATTTGACAATTATATATGTGTATACATATTAAATTACATATATATGCACACTGTAATATGATATTGTAATCATGAAATCACACAAATAAATTGCCAAATAATCTAATGCATTCAACTCCTAAACCAGAAATATTTGATTTAAATCAGCTTGATCTATGTTGAATCTTTCAAAAACCAAAATTTTAAAACACATTTTATATAACAACTAAGTCTACTTTTATGTAGCAAGTCAGAAAACATGCATTTATGCATTGGCTACATGCACATAAAGCACATACATGCAGGGCCCAATAGTAATATCTGCTTTTATGCAAGACATTCTGGAGGTGTGAAACAAAACAAGATAAAAATTACAAAGTGCTATGGTAAAAAAAAAATAGTACCTAGTTAACAAGGCAAAGCAACTTGTATTAGCTATCTTCACATTTTGCTGCTTGAGACATAAAGATGGATAGTTAAAAAGGGGAATCAAAGAAGATTTAAAGAATGAAGAAATGGATGGAAAAGTTGGTAACTTCTATAAGCAATTTATACTGAGACACACAAAAAAAAAGAGATAATGCTAATACATAATAGAGGCAAAGACTTGAAGTGAATGAAACATTAGCTTCACTGTCCTGGTTTAAATCTAATTTTATATAAGTTCCTTGGCATTCAACAATGTAACTGTATTAAAAAAAAAAACATTTTCAAGAAAATAAACAAAACTACTTGTTTTGCTTCCAATTATTTCCAAAATTATGCACAGTATTTTCTTTTGATATTTTGGGTAAAACTTAAAATGGGAAGACAAGAATGAAAAAAGAACATTTACTGCATACTTACATACCTAGGATATCCAATTCCCATCAATATGACAATTGGAACTGAGGTGGCCAAGAGGTAAAAAGAAATATTATTTGCCATCAGCAGAAAGGCTGGTAACGGAAGGAATTTTTCCATGAAAATTTAAATCTATCTTAAGAGATTTTATTAAAATTTCCCTAATCACATTCACTACTATCAACAAAGAAGTTGGGAATAGGTCTATGGCATGCACAAAGGCAGATCTAAGCTTAGTTTATATCTTCAAATTCCTAAACATCATTCGGAGACAAACTGTTCCACTGTGCTCTTTCAGTTTGTGCAGTAATTCCAGAAATCACTGATTAATGGTTTAAAAATCATTTAGAAAGCTCAAATGCTTAAATATATGTACATTTGTAGATGTCTGTATTTGCAAGGAGGAAACTGAATACACTTCAAAGATAGGAGTATTAGGTGTAAGGTGATGTGGGGGGAAACTAACTCATTAGCCTTTTCTTTTTATATCTTTGCATCCATTCACTTGTTACAAGTATGTATTAGTTCAGTAACTTGAAAATCCTCAAAGACTTAGGAAAAAATTGTTAATAGCAATGAAGAAAAATACAATACTAATATTCCTCATTAAAAAGTATTCCTTTGAAAATGAGAACAAAATAACAAGGTTAATTTTAAAAACTGTTGTATAAAATTTCAAAAATATAATGGAGTGCTCTTATGATAAGCTAGCTATATTTCAGAAAAACAAAAATTTTCTCTGCTCTAAAATCTAAATTTTTAAAAGGGCTCCAAATTTACTACTCAAGGGCTTAATGAATAGAAATTTAAAAAAGCAAAAATATACTAACTTAAAATAACTGGTGACAAAAATGATAAGTCTGTATCATGAAAAAATAGTGAAGTTGGATGGACATCTTAAATTAGGAGAAATTAGATAATTTAATACTTCTAATAGAAAGATCTATAACTAGATGAAATAATAAGAGCAAATTTACATAAAAAATGTTTTTAAGGAGAATACTGACATTCTTTCATTGATCTTTACAGACCACAGAGGGAAAAAAATCCTTAAGAAGGTAGTCAAAGCTACCTTTGTTACTGTTCCACATCTCAAAGTTGTTTTCCCTTCAGCCTCTACTTTCAGCTTACCAAAGAACTAATAATTATCTTCTTGATTTTTCTTGAAGTTGTTTTGCCCCCCTGATCTTATAAGATCAGACTTAAGCAGAAGACTTCACCTATTCACTTATTCATCAAACACTGTCTGAGCACCAACTATATGCCAAGTGCTGGTGAGGCCATGGGAATAGGGTCATGTGCTACATAACCACATTTTGATCAACATTGGACAACATATATGACATTGGTCCCATATAAGGGCTATATCATATATAGCCTAGGTACATGGTAGGCTATATCATCTAGGTTTGTGAAAGTACACTCTATAATGTTTGCACAACGAAATAATGCATCATATGGTTTGGCTGTGTCCCCACACAAATCTCATCTTGAATCGTAATGTAACTCCCACAATTCTGATGTGTCGTGGGACTAACACGGTGGGAGGTAATTGAATCATGGGGGTGGGTCTTTCCTGTGCTGTTCTTGTGATAGTGAATAAGTGTCACAAGATCTGACAGTTTTAAAAACGGGAGATTCCCTCTACAAGCTCTCTCTTTTCCTGCCGCCATCCATGTAAGACATGACTTGCTTCTCCTTGCCTTCTGCCATGACTGTGAGGCCTCCTCAGCCATGTGGAACTGTAAGTATGTGAAACCTCTTTTTTTGTAAATTGCTCAGTCTTAGGTAAGTCTTTATCAGCAGTGTGAAAATGGACTAATACAGTAAATTTGTACCAGTAGAGTGAGGTGCTACTGAAAAGATACTCAAAAATGTGCAATGACTTTGGAACTGGGTAGCAGGCAGAGGTCAGAACAGTTTGGTGGGTACAGAAGAAGACAGGAAGATGTGGGAAAGTTTGGATCTCCCTAGAGACTTGTTGAATGGCTTTGAACAAAATGCTGATAATGATTTGGGCAATGAAATCTGGGCTAAGGTGGTCTTAGATGGAGATGAGGAACTGGAGCAAAGGTGACTCTTGTTATGTTTTAGCAAAGAGACTGGCGGCATTTTGCCCTTGCCATAGAGATTTGTGGAACTTTGAACTTGAGAGAGATGATTCAGGGTATCTGCTGGAAGAAATTTCTAAGCAGCAAAACATTCGAGAAGTAACTTGGGTGCTGTTAAAAGCATTCAGTTTTAAAAGGGAAACAGAGCATAAAAGTTGGGAAAATGTGCAACCTAACAATGCAGTAGAAAAGAAAATCCCATTTTCTAAGTAGCAATTCAAGTCTGCTGCAGAAAATTGCATAAGAAAAGAGGAGCCAAATGTTAGTCACCAAGACAAAGGGGAAAATGTCTCTGGGGCATGTCAGAGACCTTTGTGGCAGCCCAACCCATCACAGGCCCAGAGGTCTAGGAGGAAAAAGTGGTTTTGTGGGCTGAACCCAGGGTCCCCATGCTGCGTGCAGCCTAGGGACTTGGTGCCTTCCATCCCAGCTGCTCCAGCTATGGCCCCAAGTCTTGGCAGCCTCCATGTAGTGTTGAGCCTGTGAGTGCACAGAAGTCAAGAATTGAGGTTTGGGAACCTCTGCCTAGATATCCGATGATGTATGAAAATGTCTGGATACCCAGGCAGAAGTTTGCTATAGGGATGGGGTCCTCATCGAGAACCTTTGCTAGGGTGGGAGCCTCCACACAGAGTCCCTACTGGGGCACCACCTAGTAGAGCTGTGAGAAGAGGGCCACCATCCTCCAGACCCCAAAATGGTAGATCCACTGACAGCTTGCACCAGGCACCTGGAAAAGCCACAGAAACTCAACACCAGCTCGTGAAAGCAGCTGGGAAGGAGGCTGTACCCTGCAAAGCCACAGGGGTGGAGCTGCTCAAGGCCATGGGAGCCCACCTCTTGCATTCAGCATGAACTGGATGTGAGACATGGAGTCAAAGGAGATCATTTTGGAGGTTTAACATTTGACTGCCCCACTGGATTTTGGACTTGTATGGGGCCTGAAGCCCCTTTGTTTTGGCTAATTTCTCCCATTTGGAATGCTGTATTTATCCAATGCCTGTACCCCATTGTATCTAGGAAGTAACTAACTTGCTTTTGATTTTACAAGCCCATAGGCAGACGGGATTTCCCTTGTCTGGATGAGACTTTGGACTGCGGGCTTTTGAGTTAATGCTGAAATGAGTTAAGACTTTGGGGAACTGTTGGGAAGGCATGATTGGTTTTGAAATGTGAGGACATGAGATTTGGGAGGGGCCAGGGTGGAATGATATGGTTTGGCTGTGTCCCCACCCTAATCTCATCTTGAATTGTAACTCCCACAATTCCCATGTTTCATGGGAGGAACCCGGTTGGAGGTACTTGCCAAATAAATTGCCAAATAATCTAATGCATTCAACTCCTAAACCAGAAATATTTGATTTAAATCAGCTTGATCTATGTTGAATCTTTCAAAAATCAAAAATTTAAAACAAATTATATAAAACAACTAACTTTACTTACTCCCACAATTCCTTTACTCATGGCGGTGGGTCTTTCCTGTGCTATTCTCATGATTGGGAATAAGTCTCAAGATCTGATGGTTTTAAAAACAGGAGTTTCCCTGCACAAGCTCTCTCTCTTTGCCTGCCACCATCCATGTAAGATGTGACTTGCTCCTCCTTGCCTTTTGCCATGATTGTGAGGCCTCCCCAGCCATGTGGAAATCTAAGTGCATAAAACCTCTTCCTTGTGTAAATTGCCCAGTCTTGGGTATGTCTTTATCAGCAGTGTGAAAATGGACTAATACAGTGCCTAACGGTGCATTTCTCAGAATGCATCCCCATGCATTAAGCAACGCATGTCAGTACAATGGTGAGCAAAACCAGAGACAGCCCTTGTTGTAATAGGAATTATGATCCTATAATAAAGGGTGACACTAATTTTAAAAAGCCAAAAAATGTAAAACTATAGCTGGAATTACGAATAAGATATACAGTGTTATTACAGCTTATAATAAGAAGGTGACAGTCAGGGATGTTTAAAAAAAAGGGTTTCTCTGAGAAAGATGAAGTCTGAAGAATTTGGTAGAGTACAACTAAGTGAAGAGAATAAGGATGTGTGAGTCATAGGGAACAATTTGTACAAAAGCCCCAAGAAAAGTAAAAGAGCATCACTATGATGAGGGATGAAAGAAGGCGTGGGAGGTGGAAGTGAGAGAGAAAGTAAGAAAGAGAGAGAGAAATATGTAAAGAAGAAGCAGGTAATGGCAAAACAATATGAGAATAACTGGGCCCTTATACAGGAACTTTAATCATTTAAATGTCATACTGGAACCGTGTTTTGAAAGCCAGGTCTAGCTAGCTGCTATGTACAGTCTGTCAATAAGAGGGACAGAATGAAGGCAGGCAGGGCAGTTAAGAAGTGGCTAGAGTAGTCCAGGAAAGACATGATGGTTGCTTGGCTTACGTAGTGGTGGCAGAAAGAGGAGGGAATGGAGAGAAATGGGCAGACTTAAGAGATACTTAGGAGGTAAACTAGATAGGCATTGGTGAGGGTTTACAAATGAGACTGAGGGAGAGAGAGTTGACAAGGATGATGTTTTGGTTTCTGGCTTATGGAACTAAATCTATAGTCATGCCATTCACTAAGCTAAGGAATGACAGATTACTACCATTTTGTAGGGGGAGATTACAAATTTGGTTCAGATACACTGTATTTGAGACACCCAAGAGAAAAGGCCAGCCACACAGGATCATATGGATCCAGAGCTCAGAAAAGAGGTCTGGGTTTGGAGTACAAATATGTAAGGTAGTTCTATAAAGGTCATAATTGGGATGGGATAAAACCACAAGAAAGAGAGCTAAATTTATAAAGGGTCTAAGGCCACGCCTGGTAGAGAAGGAAAATGCTATAAAGAATGAGGAATGGGCAAAGAGATTAGAGGATAAAGAAAAACAGAGTTTTGTGTCAAAAAGAGTAAGGAGATAGGTAAAAGGTAAAATCAGCATTTTGCAAGTATTTCCACTTCTACAACCTCCACCTAATCTATTGATTATTTTATTCACAATTGTGAGCTCTTATTATCAGGGAATTTTATCTTTTTGTAAAAACAACCTTTTATTGAGGGTGTATCAAGCTTTGAATTTTCCTTGATATTTAGTTAAAAATGTGCTAATCACCTTTGGCTTTGGTTTTGGAAGTGTGAACAGCAGAATGCCTAGGTCAACATGATTTTTCCTGTTCTTGAATTAGGCATGACCAATGATCATGTGATAATGTTTATTACCATAGTTTTTGACCAGTCTAATAGCATAATATAAACAAGACATGCCATCTGGATTTTTTTTTCTAAATATCATAAATGTTTTCTGTCATCTTGAAAATCAGTTCCATTCTCCACTGATACTTCTAAATGAACTGTTCAAGAGCAGCTGCTTTTTCAAATAATTGTGTAGAATAAAAAGTAAACACAAAAATAATAGAAATTTAAAAACGTAAGAGGACAATAATTTTCAACCCCTTTCTAAAAATATTTGGAAAACACTATATTTAAACACTGTACAAAGCTTCAGTTTGTAAGTTTGCTTAAATAAAACAGTACCATTTAGCAATGACCAAATCTTCAAGATTAGGAGAGAAGAGACAAATACTTACTTAAGTAACTTATTATCAGAGAGAAAGAATAGCTTAATAATTTGGTGACAGTAAAATAAGTCTTGCTCTTCTACTGGTCTCAGCTGAAAATGAGCATTTATTAGTATCCCCAATATGCAGTATATTAATGACAAGATTACTCTAGCAGCTTACGGTGCTAAGAAATTATTGCTTTTGAATTACAATGTCCAATTTTTAAAATCTAACTACTAAATTTATAATTATAATTAAATTCTCTTTGATAAATTTTCATTATATTCTACTAGAAATTCCTTCTATGATGGTGATATTTTCTTCTGGCCTTTACTTTAACCAAATGTTGATGTTAACTTTCAACTATCTGGCATTTGGCCCATATAGGATGATAATGCACTTCCAACTCTTCCAAACACCTTACCCATAGAATGTCTATAACAAATGACTGTTAACAAAGGAATGAATAAATGGATAAATGTATAACCTCAATGTCTTATCCTCTTCTCTCTATAAAAGGGCCACTGTTAATGAAAAAGTACATCAAGTATCAACTATTGTTTTTATATATTAGTTATATACAAATATATTAATGAAATTTTTATCTTATATATAGGAAAGTTTTAAAATTCTAAGCAAATACTTGTAATATTAACTTAAAAGTAAAATAGAAAACTCAACATTACCAAGAAGTATTTTTTTTTTTTGCCTGTGCAATATGGATAGGGGAATTTCAATTTGACAGAAGACTCAACAGAGCTTTTCACTTTTTTAAAAGTAGACGTTTAGAAAATGATTCCTTTAGATTTTCTTGTACTTAAAAAACACCTGAAATATTTCTTTAGTAGTACTATCTTTAGTGGTAAAGATGAAGGAGAAATATCTTTAATTCTTGTGCTCCTAATTAAAATGTCTCCTTCGACTCTAGCTTTTATATTCCTTTGGAATTACATCTCAGTTGAAAGTGGGAAGCGGAGTAAAGAAAGAAGCACTCAAATAATTCACAAATAAAAGTCATGCGAGGCAAATTTGATATAGCAGAAACACTAGTACTGAGAATTAGAGATGCTTATTATATCTGGAGAATATAAACTTTATAGGCAAAGGGCCAATGGAAAGTTTCATTATTTAAGTTAGCATGATGGAATTTGTTTTGATTTTTACATAATTAATTTACATAATTAAACTAAGAAATAATGATTAGAAATAAAAATAATTTTCTTCAGATAGTAATAAATTAATCTATAATTATTAGTCAATTTTTAAAGGTGATTTCTTAGAAATAGAAATGTCTACTAACAACTTATAAACAATGAGGAAAGAGAAAATAAGACACACATCTAAACAAAGGCTGATGTTCAGCATTAATCCAAGGTTGAAGAAGACTTTTTTTGTCTTTAGTATCACAAGGCCTTTTATTCCTTAAAACTGAAGGTAGATTTTCAGTAAGAAGCTGCAAAGAATTTAACTTTTTTGACAATATGGAAAAGAACCTAAATTAACTTACTAAATATGCCATAATCTCTGAGGAAGTTTCTAATTTCTTTTCCTATAACTGTAACAAAGTTTGTATAACAAGAAAAATCTCAATAGAGTTAAGGCATTAATTATTTTCCCATTCTGCAAGTTACACAGGAGGAGGGGAATTATTAGCCGGAATGATAAAGCTGTACTTGCATTTGGTAACACAAAGAGAAGCTTACAAATGAGACGTCTCATTAGTTTGAGCAGATGGATCAAAATTAAAGGCTGAATCGCCAACTTTTGATTTCCCAATAGCCAAGAAGAGCTTGAAGTCTTGCAGAGTAGGACTGTTGAAAAGTCAACATGAAAAGATTTTCTCCATCTGTCATCACACATGCCTGAGTGGAACACAACTGCCTCCTACTGTTTTTAACACTTTTAAGGCAAAGTTGCACATAAAATCTATTAAGTACACGAGCACGCAAGTTTAGATCACTAAAACCCATGGAATAGTATGATCAGAGAACATCAGCATGGTTTTTGAACAAGAAATTTGTTTTAATCCAAATAAGGAGAAACAAATTGAATTCATTTGTTTATTTAAGATAAAACTGTTAATTTTTTGCCTAAAAAGTGTTTAGTTGCCTGAGAGTCATAGTTCTTTTGTTTTCGAATGGACATGTATTTCAGTCTTCTCACTAATGGTTTGAAACGTAGCTTCTCTGATAAAACCAAAGTACTTAAGGAAACCAAACCAGGGAGAAATCCAAGATACTGAACAACTTGAAGGCAAGAAAAAAGCAAATTCCGAAGAGTATTCACTTTTTTTTAACTGATTGTGGGGAAGAAGGGGCAGGCAGCATGAGGTAGTAGCAGGAAAAATTCAATTAGTTTACTTAGATTAGAATAGACTGCATATTTCTTACTGCTGTACACTGTATTACTAAAACTGCCAAGATATATTTGAAAAATAACAGTTTACGTACACAGCCCCACAAGAAATAACTTGATTTTCCTTAATAAAAAGGAAAGCATATTTATGAAATATGTAATTGGCTGCTTAATAATAATGCGCTATCGTTGACCATTGTTATTGGTAATATTGTTATTAACCATGACCACTGTTAATAACAATGCACTAATATGTAGTTAGTTATAACTATAATGAAATTCCAGAAGCAAATCTCTCTCTCTACATATATATACACACATGCACATAGTATACATACATAATTTACCATACTTACATGTATAACAAAATATTTAAACAGAAAAGAATCTCAGAATGACATACACATATAGTTAGACTTCTCAGTCATCAGAGTTAGAATAATAAAATTGAAGAGTTTATTGGGCTGTCAGTTTTTTAGATAACGTGAAAAACTGTTGAATTATATTTTTTTCATTTTCCGACAGATGGATATATACAAATCACCTACTTAAAGTTATAATTTAAAACCTTATACAAAGACAGCTAGTGACTGGGATAACATTAACTTCAACCTCAATTATTATGAGTTAAAAAAAAACACAACTCAAAAACTATTCTACCGGGAAGTTCTTTGTTGACCTTCTAATACAAGCAGAAGACAGAACACTACAGCTTAGTTAAGGTCAAAGAAAAAAATAATCCTTTACGAGGTTCCAAGTTCCTGAAAACAAACCTCTAAATGAGTCTCAATAATCAATGACTACTATGAAGTACCAGTTCTTGTGTGATGGAATAAATCAAGGGTTGCCAACTTTATTGAAATAGGTATATTTACCAAAATCAAATTGTTTAACAGTCGTGCTTTCCAAGTACCTACTCGGCAATTTTCTGTGCTGGATATAATACAAAGGCATTCAGCAGAAGCTGCCACATAGTAAGCTAACTGATTTTAGGCCAAATAGTATTGGCAGATCAACCTGCAAGTAGAAACCTTAAACAGAGCAAGCCTTTTCAGAAGACTGATACAGAGAGAGATTTCAGTTTTGGGCAACTTTATTATAAAGTTAAACATATAATGTAGGTACTTTCAAGAAATGAAAAATGATAGAACTTTGTTCTTCACTTATGTTGCAAAAGGGCTCTTAAGTTGAGATGATTGCATTAATGTAAAAGACCATTGCCTTATTGGCTTAGTACTTAAAATCTGAAGGCATTGGCCTAGGCATCTGTAATACTAGCAACACTAGAAGCAAATTTCAACTAGTGGACCATAGTCCTGATGCGTTTCATATTTCTATCATCCTCATCTCACAAGTATGTTAAAACTTTGAAGACAAGACAATGCATCAAAATCAAATCATATTTACCACAGACTTCCCATGCATATGATGATATACTGAGAACTAAATCAACAGTATTTCCTTATAACCCAGTCTTTTGTGGTAGGACCTGTCTTGCTGGGACACAAAAAGTAAAAGGACAACATTGTAGAAATCAGAAGAACTGATTAAAAATTTTAAATATAATCCCTTTACCAAAGCATTTATTTACATTTTAATGCTATCATTTCTATTTATGCTTCTGTCATATTTTTGAATGAGAAAAATACAACAGATTAGATAAACTATAGGAATAAAAGAAAAAAAATTAAGGGAATAAAATGCATCAATAAAATGGAAGGACAAATACCAACAGAAGCTACCTCTGGTAGTGGAATTACCAGTGATTATTTTTTCCCCTTCATGTTTGGTTTATGGTATGCCTAAGGGTTAAACTTTAAACTATTTCTTTATTCAGTCTCTTTTGTATTAATCTATTTATTTATTTGTTTGAGTACATTTTATTAAAAGATAAAAATTAAAGTTTACCTCTTTAATAGGGTAAAACAAAAGTGTGCCAGGCAGCTACTGCTAAGAGAGTAGAATTATCACAAAATTGTCTATTTAAAATTAAGAATCCTTTAGAGGTTCACGATGATTGTCCCAATGTAGATGACACTTTTTACAGTATCCTAGACAAAGCATTGTCCAGCTATGGTCAAAAGAAGGATAGCTCCTTTGCAATTCAGTCTATTTCACTGTAGAAAAATTGCAGTTCCTTATATCTAGCTCTCCAGAACTTCCATGCATTGGTTCTAAATCTCTTTGTGCAAAATAGAACATACCTTCCTTTCATATGACAGCCTTTCCATTACCACCACTTTCCCCCAAACCCCACCTGGATTTTCTCTCCTGCAATCTTAACATTCTGGTTTCTCTTGACCATTAACTCAAATTATATGTATTCCCAACTTCTCACAATTGTAATAACCTTCTCTTGAACCTCTATTCTCAAAATATGATACAAAATGACCACAGTACTTGGTAACAAACCAAATTACAACAAAGTTTTCACCTTCCTTGATTTGAACTTTTTTCTCTCTGATGACATTTAAGGTGTCATTAGTTTTTTAAAGTGTATATAATACTTGTTTGAATTAAAGTGAATTTATTCAACTAAAATTATTTTTTCCAAGACAATGCTTCTTTAATTTATACCTATGAAATTTATTATTTGAGTTTAAATGTAGGACTTTACATTTATCCATTAGAAATTTTAGGATGTTGAATTTGAATACTGCCCAGTTGAGATAAATTTATATCTTGGTTCTTTCTTACACGATGTCCTAATATTCATCATTGGCAAATTTTACACACATTTAGATGAAAATACATTCACTAGGAAAGAAATCTCAGGGATGCCTCAAGAGACATCCCTCTAAACAACACTTTTCAACCAAGGGCACTTATGTACCCCGGGGAACATCTGGTAATGTCTGGAGACAGTTTGGGTTGTGATATTTGGAGCGGGGAGAGCCACTGGCATCTACTGGGTAGAGACCAGGGATGCTGCTAAACAACTTACAGTACACAGGACACACCCTCCATCCCCCAAAACACAATTATTCTGTCCAAAATGTCAATATTGCCCATGTCAACAGGCAAAATACATATCAACTGGCTAGGATATATATGTTAATCATATTTAAATCACACTTAAAAAAATTCAGGGGCTAAAAGACCACAGTGTCACAGTATAAAACAAAAATGCAAGAAAGAATAGATTTTACTAATTGAAAATAAGTGTACATCCAAACCAATACATGAACAAATCGTGTGCAATACATGTGTTATTGCAATCGTGATTTAGAGGTAACAATTGCCAATTAAGAAAAAACTTCACTGGTATGACATCACTCTGTTTTCTATGCCTTAAGACCGAAAAAAAAAAAAAATCCAAAATGGCAAACATACATTAGATCATAACCTTACATAGCACTAGATTGATAACAGTATTCAGAAGAAATGGCCTATGTTTATAAAATCCTATGTAGGTCTCCTGTGACAACAAAATGTTTTAATTCATTGGGTATACATTATGGTCATACGGCAAGACCACACAATGTGGCCATTTCTGCCAAAAGTCCATTTTAGGAAATTTATTTAAAGTAAATATTTAAACAAAAATAACAGGTAGAAAGATAATCACTACAGTAGCATAATCTTTAATAACAGAAAACTGCAAACATTTAACGTACTTAATAATGGAGGAATAACCAATAATAACCAATATCAGCTTAATTTCAAAGGGACAGTGTCAAGTTCTGAAGACATTATGGGTTTTATCAACACAAACACCTGCATTTAAGTACTGGTGCCTCTCTTAACTAGCTCTGTGACCTTGGGAAGCTGCTTAACATGCCTTAGGTTCATTTCTCCCTTTAACAAAGAGAAATAATCATGTTATGTCAGAGGACTGGGAAGGTTAAAAGTCCAAAGAGACTTATATGGTATCTGAAAATTAGAACCTGAATAAAGATTCCTTTTTCTCTCTTGCAAACATTAAAATTGTGAAGACCATGTAGAAACATTAAAAAATGTTTATTATTCATTAAGAAAAAGTGAATATAAAACTGTATATATGGTATAATTATAATTTAGTAATGCAGTATAACTAATAATTAATATTAAGTTTGAAGGAGCAAAATTAAAAGGCACATGTGTGAATGGATAAAAGACTAATGGAAAATGTATAAAACTGCAATTACAATGTTAAAATGGTAAAATAATAGAAAACTATAAACAATTTTAATATTGTCATTTTATTTTTATAGCTAACAAACAGTATAGGAGATATGTAGGTATTTCTACAAAACCTGAAGTCCCACTCTTACGGAAAACGAATGTCATCACTAATCATTCAAAAACAGAAACTGTGAGACCTGTATACTAAACCTTACTTCTTAGGGCACGCATCTTAAAGAAGGATCATAGTTATCCTGCTCTAATTCTTCTTTGCAGTAAGGCACTAAAATACAAATCTGGACACGATCTCAGATCCAAAAGTTTGTTAGTAGACTCTTAAACTGCAATCATACTTTACACAATTACCCACAGGGCATTTTTAGCCAGACAAGAAAATAACTTAGAAGTCACACATTCTTAAAGAGCTCATGGATGGAAAAATATGCACACAAAAGATGGAGAGGTGATATTTATCTCTAAATTCTGCCTCAGCTGTGTGCATTCTCCATTCCTAAGTTCTTCATGCCCTAGAGCAACCAGCCCCTGGTAACCTGAAGACTTCTCTTGGGTATCCCATCCAAGTCTATCCTTTCTAACCATGCACAACTACTGTGAAACTAGCCCTCCAACTGACTTTGTCCTATCAGAATTTACCATAGTAAGAGCCTGCCCTCCTCAGTCACCTTTCATTTTGAAAAGTAAGGCAATGAATGGATTTACAATAAAAATAAAAGAGCTGGCAGTAAGATCTCATCTCTACTGACTAAACGCCCCTAGCCAGCATCCAAGTTTTATAATTAATGATTCCTAAGGGGGCATCTTAGTCCCTACTACAGTGAGGGAATTATAACAGAAGAGATAGAGAGGAAAGTTCTCCTAGGATCCCCTATATTACAACATATGTTTGGGTTTTTATCTAAAATAGAAGATATAACTGCTACTTTTCCCAACATTTGGGGATACAGCTGCATTTTATTTTTTAAATAAATATTTTAAAATGTAACATCATCTTAATAAAAAAGCTAGAGTCATATAACAAATACGTTTCAATAATAATTATAAATAGTATGATGAAGGCTATAACCCTAAAAGGCTAAGCAACCCGTAGCTTCTAAAGCCTCAAAATAGCTGTGGTACTGGCAGTAATAGCATTATTAAACTATTTACTCATATAAGCTTGAATTTACAATAGTCTATGTTTATTTATGTGTTTATACATGGCTACATTTATTTATCAATCTCAATAGGAAAAAATTTTCAGAAATTTCTCTTTTTACTCTAAAAAAGTAACTTATTCTAATGCGAAGCAATCCTATGTTCCATACTAAAGTACCAGGTACCTCCTTACCTGGTCATTAAGCATTAACTATGACAGAAAAATAACAATTGCTTTAATTTCTAGGGGCAACACAATAACATTTCTATTAGTGGCCTCTTAAGATTTTTTCATAATGCATGCAAGTCTGATCAGTTACAAAAGATATCGTAAGATGTGGTAGGTATTTTCCTGACTAGATTAAAAAGATAAAATATCTACTATGTGTCCCACAGTAAAGTATTTATATTTTAATTTCCATTAATTAAAAAGAGAAGAAATATTTAAGAGTACTCATTCATAATGAAATCTATAGGGCTGGGCATGGTGGCTCACGCCTGTAATCCCAGCACTTTTGGAGGCCAAGGTGGGTGGATCACCTGAGGTCGGGAGTTCAAGACTAGCCTGACCAACATGGTGAAACCCTGTCTCTACTAAAAATACAAAAAAAATTAGCCGGGTGTGGTGGTACATGCCTGTAATCCCAGCTACTTGGGAGGCTGAAGTAAGAGAATCACTTGAACCCGGAAGGTGGAGGTTGTGGTGAGCTGAGATTGTGCCATTGCACTCCAGCCTGGGCAACAAGAGTGAAACTCTGTCTCAAAAAAACAAAAAACAAAAAACTATCATAGACTAGAAAAGGTTCTCTTGTGATGGAAGAAATGCCACCACAATTAAAAATTATGATGCAAAATGTTATTAATTCACAGTTCAAAATTAAATGGAGACCCAGAATAGCCAACACAATATTGCAAGAGAAAAACAAAGTCAGAGGACAGACACTATCTGACTTTAAGACTTACAAACAGATTAATGAAACAGAACAGAGATCCCAGAAATAGACCCACATAAATACAGTTAACATATCTTTGACTAAGGAACAAGGAGTGAATATAGTCTTTCAAGAAATGATGTTGGAAACAACTGGCCATCAATATGCAAAAAAAATGAATCTAGACGCAGACCTCATATCTTTTACAAAATTAACTTAAAATGGATCAAAGAAGTAAATGGAAAACCACAAAATTATAAGTCTTAGAAGATAACATAACAGAAAATCAAGGTGACCTTGGATATGGCAGTAACTCTTTATATACAACACCAAAGACATAAAGGAAATAATTGACAAGCTGGACTTTATTAAAATTTATAACTCTGCTGAAAAACACTAAGAGAAATAAGAGGAAAGAGAATGAGAAGACAAGTAACAGACTGGAAGAAAATATTTCCAAAATATATACCCGATAAAGGACTGTTAACAAAATATACAAAGAACTCTTAAAACCCAACAATAAGAAAATGAACCACCTGGTTAAAAATGGGCAAAAGACTTGAAAAGACATTTCACCAAAGAAGATGGGCAAATGTCAAGCATATGAAAAGACGCTTAATATCACTTGTCATTAGAAAAATACAACTTAAAACAAGATACCATTACACACCTTTTAGAATGGCCAATATCCAAAATATTGACAAAACCAAATGCTGGCAAGGATGTGAGGATGTTGAACAACAGAAATTCTCTAATGGGTATGAAAAATGGTATAGGTATTTTGGAAGATAGTTTGGTAGTTTTTTAAAAAGCTAAACATACTCCTACCATATGATCTAGCAATTATACTCTTTTTTTTTTTTTTTTTTTTTTTTGAGACGGAGTCTTGCTCTGTCACTCAGGCTGGAGCACAGTGACACCATCTCAGCTCACTGCAAGCCCCACCTCCCAGGTTCACGCCATTCTCCTGCCTCAGGCTCTGCAGCAGCTGGGACTACAGACGCCCACCACCACGCCCGGCTAACTTTTTTGTATTTTCAGTAGAGACAGAGTTTCACCGTGTTAGCCAGGATGGTCTCCATCTCCTGACCTCGTGATCCACCTGCCTCGGCCTCCCAAAGTGCTGAGATTACAGGCATGAGCCACCATGCCCAGCGCAATTATACTCTTTATTATTTACTCAAACGAGTTGATAACTTACGTCCGGACAAAAACCTGCACATGGATTTTACAGCTACTTTATTTATAATTGCCAAACTTGGAAGCAACCAATATGTCCTTTGGCAGGTGAATAGATAAACAAATTAGCACACCAGGATAATGGTGTATTACTCAATACCAAAAAGAACTGAGCTACCAGGCCATGAAAAGACATGCGGAACCTAGAATACCTATCACTAAGTGAAGAAAAGCTAATCTGAAAAGGCTACATACTATGTGGTTCCAACTACAAGATGTTCCAGAAAAAAACAAAACTATGGAGAGAGTAAAAAGATCAGCAGTTAAGCGGGAGGACAGAAAAACAGGCTTAACATAGAGGATGTTTAGGTCAGTGAAACAAATTTGTATGAAACTATAATGGCAAATACATGTAATTATACATTTCTCAAAATTCATGCAATGTACAAAACAAAGAGTTAACCTTAACGTAAACTGTGGACTTTGAGTAACATCTGCATGTCAATGTAGGTTCATTGATTGAATCAAATTATCCCTCTGGTACTGGGGACACTGTGCTTGTGTGGGAGTAGGGAGCACATGGAAACTCTACTTTCCATTCAATTTTACTGTGAACCTAAAACTTCTCTTAAAAAAACTGTATTTTTAAAAAAACTAAATTGAGAAAACATTTAAATATTTACTGAATCTTTTTGATATTCCCTATACAAAAAGAGTTTACAGACCACAGGTACATTCCTTAGCTAACAATATAGTTTATATATTTTCTAATCTAAAACTTGGAAATAAATGTGCATGGTGATAACATCTAGCTACTTACACTGAATTTATGATACTCTTGCAAAGAAGGCTATACGGGACATTCCATTAGAATCTTTTTTGAAATGCTTTCAAAAGTTTCTCTAGACAGCATTTTGGGATCATCACACATACACTACAAATAAAACCTCACGAGGCAATCCAGAACAGAGGTGGTAAATTATAGCCAGCAAGCCGCCTATTTTTGTAAATAAAGTTTTATTGGAACACAGTTGCACCCACTTGTTCAAATATTGTCCATAGCCGCTTTCATGCTAAATAGCAAAGTTGAAGGAGCTGCAACAGAAAACATAAGGCCCATAAAGCCTTAAATATTTACTATCAGACTCTTTACAGAAAAATTCTGCCAGCCTCTGACCTAGAACAAATAGTTTTTATTTAGTAGGATTTTTTTAATTTAAAGAAAGAATATTGGCATTTTATATTTCTTTATTTTTAAAATGATAAATAATGCAACTCACAAAATAGTTTTTTATGAGGGTCAAAGGAGAACAATGACATAAAATAAATGCAAAGAAAGTGATATGTCACAATAGTTAGCAGCTCATGGCCTGGATCTGAAAGTGCACTAGCAGAATGACCTGAACATGTTACTTTATTTTGCAAAGAACTCCATTTTCCTCATCTGTCAAGTGAAGATAATAGTACCTGCCTCATAGGTTGCAGAGAAAATTCAATTGGTCAGTAAGTATAAGATAATCTTACCAGCTTCATACATTTATTAAGAACTAGAAAAGGTTAGCAACTATTATTCTTGCTAGTATACAACTTAAAATACTTGTGATTTCCGAAAAAGTTATTCTTAAAACCAAGCACAATCTCTAGAGATTAGTTATGAATGTGATTTTAAAATTATTTCCTAAAAACAGAAAAAATGCCTCAAGAATGCTCAGTGTTCCAATGTTTAAGGAGGCAGTGTCCCATGCTCTCAAGTTCAAATCATCTTTGATTTATTTTATATACTGGAGTTGCAAACAAGATTTAGTCTGGGAAAAAAAGGTTTCACTACTCTTAAAAGGAATTTAACAACCTAAAGGCCAGGAAAACACTTTACATGTCATAAAAGGCTCACATTGTTTTAAGAAATGACATAATAAAGTTATTCAAAGAACCGTGAACAATTGGGAAGTGGACAATTTTTATATAAGCAATTATTATCACTTCACTTTGTCTTTAACAATCTTGATGGGAGTATATTGAACATGGAGAATTAAAAAATAAAAGTGCTTAATTTCTAAACACCATCAAACAATACAGAACTTTATTATATATATTACATTTCAATTGATATTGCTTCATGAAAACAGTAAGAATATAATATTTAAAATTAAAAATGGCAAACAAAATAGCACGACCTATCAATACTGGGATGATAATATCTATGAATATTTTTATGACTTACCCATTGGGCTAAAGCAGTTATTAAGAATTAGAACCTCTGAGTCATTGCCTCAGAATTAAAGAAAAATTTTCTTCTGAAGAGCGTAAATATTAATAATTTTTATCATTAAGCACTCTCTAAAAGCAGATAAATAAGTGTAAAAGCAGATAAAATAAGTGTACCTGGTGTCCAGCCTTTACTTGCTTCAAAACATTTTCATAACATACTTCATCCATGTTATTCAACTGCTGCATCTTGAAGATTTTAAAACATAAAAAAAATCATGTGAAACAATTATAAACTTTCTAACTACAAATAAAATTTTGCCAATTACAATGCATTTTTTAAGCTTTCAGGCTATCTAGAATGCAGAGGTATCAAATACCTCATAAACATATAACATATAACAATCCATTAAAAAATATGCAACGCAACTTAAAAGTACAAATAGAGTAACTCAGATAATAGTTTCTGAGTACTAACTTTCTAAACCCACCAAGTTTTTAAAATACAGTATCTTTAAGGATATTCTTGTTAGTTACAAATATTTTAGAATAATTTTTAAAGTTCTCTCTGCTTTTCTGAGAAGCCCATTCTCCAGGCTATTTTCCATATATTTCATTATATAAACCATAGAGCACACCTTTCCTGTATGATTCTAAATGTTGCGAGAACACTACGGATCAAGTGTCAAATGGCACACAGAGCTAAAACATAAGGTAACACACTATTTCTGTAATGTATATTGAGAGAGGTTGCTATTCAGAATGCTTCTACAGAAACATTTTTCAGATTAATTGGAAATCTAATATAAAATTTATGAATTAAGAAAGGGTCTCTAAGTATTTAAGGTTATGGATATCCCAATTAAACTAATTTGATATTCAGTCAAATAGATTTGACCGAAGATTTTCATGTAAGTTAATACATGCATATAATTATCAATGTATTCATATAATTATGAATGTATTATGCCCACATATGCCCAGAAAATATGTAAATCTACTATGTATCAATTTAAAAAAATTTAAAAGGGTCTCATATTCCTTATTAATGATGAGAAAGCTTCTAACCAAAAAGGTAAGGTGGCTAACCCAAAGGAGTAGGCATGTGACCCAGCCTATTATCTCTCCACTTAACATGTATTAGTAAGAGTTTAGAAGAGGATGAAAAGCATCATGTACATCTAAAATGACAATGATTTGGATTTTTTGTTTCATTAATGTAAACATTTTAAAATACTGGAACTCTTATGACCTATAACGGCTAAGTAGGATGAGATGATCATAGGATAATTTACTCCTCATGAATAATTTAAAAACAATCCCCACCCTCTACAAAAGACAAAACTCCCAATAACTTTTTCAGTGTACTTTGGATTCATTTCTGGCCAAAGCCATTATTCCAAATTAGACATAACACTCACATCATTCTCCCATTCCTTTCATGATTATGATGGTAACGTACTGTAGTGAAATATACTTTGGATTTAATTAGCTTTAGGTGATTTAACAATTTGTATGATGCAACTGAAAGAAAATAAGGTTTAAGGTGGCTGACAAGCATGTGAAACAACTGTCTTCTCTTTATATCTCTCTGTGATAATCATCTGCTTATCTTTTAAATTATAAAGCTGAAAACATTCTAAAGCTATAAAAGAAGGTCTACATCTATCCTACTGATATGTTAAAAATGAACTACATAATCAAATTATATTGAAACATAACTGAAAAAAACAAGCAGCAAATATTTCTGAAAAGCAGCACTTGAAACAATTATGAAGCTTAAAATATGCAGAATTGTATATCATAAACTCTCCCTTTGTGTACAAGTCTAAAATGACTCCCTAGAATTCTAAAGACACCTAACATTCATGCAATGCAGTTACAGGACATTAACTGTTGTATTATGGTAACAGTCACTTTGGATATTTTTAGGTGAATATTTTACCTATAATAGTACAAGGTAAAAATGGCTCTATTTTACTAATGAAATTGTTTTTAGACAAGAAGTGACAGTAATACATTAAAGACTAAGGTTGACATAGTAACATGATTTTATCTTGTTCTCTTTTATTAAAAATGTCAAAAGGCCTGTAAATATTTTCCTAAAACTATTCCTTCTACACAAAAAATAGGTGTTGTTGAATAGGATGATAATTGTTTAAATTTTAAGTAATGTTTTCCTTCATATTATAAAATAAGCCTATCATAAGTACTCTAATAGTGTGAATAGTATAGGTAGTACTAATTTTAAAATTAGATAAACTTTTTAAAGCATAGAATTTTAGAAATGCCATTTATATATATAATAATAAAGGTAATCATAGAACATTGTAAGTTAAACAGAACACCTTCCTTGATGGTTGCTACTATGATATTATTTTCAATTGAGTATGAGGTACTATTATTTCTATTAAATGAATATCATCACAATATATATTACTTGTTTAATTGGAGTTTTTATTATTCCACAATGCCCTTCAATCATTTCACGTCAAAATAACGTAAAACTTTTAATAGCTGAAAATACGTAACATACATGGAAAACACCAATGCAAACTATGACAAGCTACTTTCTATAGGAGGACTTACTCTACTACAAATAGTTGAGGAAGTATGCTTGATTTTGTCTAGGATATCACATCTGTAATGTGATTCAATGTTCTGCAAAAGGCCATTTCAGTGGACACCACAAAAGGCTGAAATGGTCTTTTGGAGTCTCTAACTCCAAACAAGTATTCAATAATAAGTCAACAAAAATATTTTTAGATAAGAATTAAAATGAGTATTTACCTTATTTGCACATTTAATCCCCAAAAATGTCTGTCCAAGAGGTACTGGTCGAAAACGGCCATCAAAGAAGAAAAGTCCAATGTATGGATTAACATGTAAAAATGTGGCAACATCGAGGTAGTTAGGTAAAGTTGCAGACAGTCCGAGAATCCTTATCATACTCTGTGTGGATTCCACCTATATGGATTATTTTAATTAAATATGGGTTATTTAAATTAATTTAACCAAAAAACATTATAATTTGTCCTATTAATAGGACTTCTAAAAACTCTAGACAGAGATGAGTGTAGAGGTCAATTGAGGGTCCTATCATGTCAGACATTGTAGCCCATAATTCACAAGCTTGATTTAACAGATACATAGTAGAATTCCATACCCACTATAATTAAAAATACACATGAGGGGTGAGTGTGTTGGCTCACACCTGTAATCCCAGCACTTTGGGAGGCAAGGTGGGCGGCTTGCTTGAGCCCAGGAGTTTGAGACAAGCCTAGGCAACATGGCAAAACCCCATCTCTACCAAAAGAAAAAAAAATATTAACTGGTGTGGTGGCACACATTTGTAGTCCCAACGACTCAGGAGGCTGAGGTGGGAGGATCACTTGAGCCCATATGATCATGTCACTGAGCTCCAACATCGGTGACAGAGTAAAACTCTGTTTCAAAAATAAATACATGAATAAAAATAAAAATAAAAATGTGAATTAAGAACTTTGTGACAACTAAATGTATTTTTAGGTCACAAAAAACTCAGTAAATTCCAAAAACTAAAAATCATATAGGCCATATTATCTGATTATGATGTAACATACCTAAAAAGATAAAACCAAGGGATGGCCAAAAACTTCCATTCATTTGTTAATTAAAATATATCAGTATGATTTTCTGAGTAAGCTGTTAATAATTTTACTCAGTCTAGGAGACTCAATAGGTATAAGCAAAGTAGTTCAATGTGAATAATATTAATACTTTCAGAGTCATCCATCCATCAACACTGGGTTAGGACCTAATCTGTAGGCACTAGGGATGCAGTGCTGAATAAGACATAGATCCACACATGCAGAGACTACTTGCAGAAACATAACAAGGGAGGGATCAAAAAAGTAGAGATGGGTAAAAATTAAAGTACCAATACATATATAGTATCTTATTATAAATTTGTTTTCACTGAAGAAATCTTATAGATATTGGCAAAACCCCAAACCAAATCCCATCAAAAGCAAGGAACCCTAAATAAGGGGAAATAATCACCAGACCTATTTTTAAAGAAATCTCTTTCACAACATACAGTAATTAGAACGATTAATTATCCCACAGTTCTATGTAGTACTAGTGGTGATTTGGAAAGAAATGAAAGTGATATTTGGTTTTAAAATCATTTTTTAAGACACAATAGTTACAGAATATATTTTTAAGGTTGTTTGATGTTAAAGACACAATACTCTGGCAAACACCAGACATTTTTCTGCTAAAAATCCACTTTAAAACAACATTTTTAAATCTAAAAGTATAATTATAATACAGTTATTTAATATAGTTAAATCTATGTGAGAAATACTTTATTTGAAATAGAAATAATCTGGAATGTTATGTCTTAAGCCAAACCTTCAAGTCTATACACTATACCTATTTACCTTAAAAGTATTAATTATTGACAATTACAAAAAATTAAAAATTTATAGCTTTCTCCCTATCATTAGCTCGGATTAGACAGTATATTTCTATGATGTTTTCCTTCACATAAAATTTAGTTCTGATAAAGTCTCCCTACTTACTAAAAGTAGGTTAATTATTAGTTCATGTTGTTAAATAAAATAGATTTAAGATTTCTTAGACTTTTATCTTTTCCAAATTTCTCCCAATCATGCCAAGTGTATTATGAATTTAGTGCCTAATATCATCATGTAAGTTCAGAACCTGAACAAAATCTACATTGCCTTCCAATAGCTTTGGAAGGCACTTCTACATTAGTTACAAATGTTGAAGTGTGATGTGATGTGCCATCTACTGGGAACATTTGGTAATCACAAGGAACAAATAAAAATAAGAGCTTTGTTTTGTAATAAAAATAACTATGAGCACTGTACTAATACTTCGAAAATATGAAAAGATTCACACAGACACATCTGTCAAGGAAGCTGAATTCTAGTGAGGCATTTAGATGAAGACAGAATTCACTATAGTAAGTTGTGAAATTATAAGGAAGATCATCATAAGCGTTAAAACTATGTAAAAAAAGGGAGTGCAAAGAAAACACAGAAAAGGTGTAATTCATTCTGATTCAGTAACTAGGAAACACATCATAGAAGTGGCATTTGATGGATTCAAAAGAACAGTAAATTTTCCATAGATGGATGGGTGGAGTTACAAAAAAAGAAGGCATTACATAATTTGGCATTTACAATCCTTATCTCACAACCAACAACACATTCTGCCTCAAGTTAGATTAGTTTCGTTTTTGAAAGAGGGTCAATGATATTTAAAAGGAGGTAGGGGAAAGATCAAATAGTTTTGTGTGGCTGGAACCTCTGGTAGCTGATGAAGATGTAGAAGTTAAAATTAGACAGACAGCGCTTTAATATTAGTAGTCTTTAACGTCCAGCTAAACAATTTGACCATTTTTCTTAAGATAACAAACAGCAAGTCAGCAAAGGTTTATGGGCAAAGTAGTACAAAACGATATAATTAGAATTTGATTACAATATACAGATGACAATGTGAAGATGAAATTATTATACATATATAATATATATGATATACACTTATATATTGATACACTATATATTTATATAATAATATATTGCATATAATACATAATAAACCTATAATATATAGTTTGATATAGTTTATAACATTTATAGATTTTATATAGAAACTATACTATTTACAATTAATTTATATTTTAAATAAAAAATTATATATTTATAAACAATTTACAAAATTATTTGTAAACTTTCTAAGGTTATAATGCCTGCTTAAAAATATTATGATATATAATGTTATATCTATGTGTCTTTGTACATACATACAGAAAGGATTAGCACTAAGACTACAATCTGTTTTCTTTTTCTACTGGGGATGCTCAGGAAAGAAAGATGTACTATAACAGTAAAATCCCTTGTAATCATGAATGATAGACCTCTTGGAAAATATACTAATGATATTTACTTGGCCTCTAATGTTCTATAGTTGAAGAAAGTCCTTATCTTTGCTGGATGGACATGGTCTCTGTAGGTGGCTCACTGCAAATAAATGTGGTGTATGGATTGTAATAGTATGGCTCCTTGAAAAACATCAGTAAGTTAAGTATCAGGACATAAAATCAAAACATTTCATAATCAAAATAGCTCTCCTTTGTGTAAATCATGCCCTGAATGCTTCTTTTATGAGACCTCATGTATAACATGTGGGCCAGAGCACATGCCTTGTAGGAATAATGGACCTAGAGAATAGAGATGATAGTTTCAGACTTCATCATACTTCATCTGTGTCTGACAACTACCTGGATTTTAAAAATTGCTCTTAAATTGGATTTTAGCTAAAAGCTGGTTTTATAAATCAGCTTTGAAAATTTCAACCCTGTGTGTTTTCTGTATGTGTGTGCATATACACATATTTTTAATTTATGTGGTAAAAAGTAAACAAGTCCCAAATATTTCTACAATTTCATTTCTACTGAAGAAATCACTTTTTAATTAGGTCCTACTTGTCAAATTTTTTGTTGTTGTTGTTGCAATTGCTATCTCCCACTTTTTAGTTTAATTAGGTCCTACCTGTCAATTTTTGGTTTTGTTACAGTTGCTTTCGGGGACTTAGCTAAAAATTCTTTGCCAAGGCCAGTGTCAAGAATGGTGTTTCCTAGATTTTCTTGTAGGATTTTTATTGTTTAAGATCTTACATTTAAATCTTTAATCCATCTTGAGTTAATTTTTGTATATAGTGAAAGGTAAAGGTCCATTTACATTCTTCTGCATATGGCTAACCAGTTATCTCAGCATTATTTATTGAAGAGGGAGTCCTTTCCCCATTGCTTATTTTTGTCAGCCTTGTTGAAGATCAGATGGTTGTAGGTATGTGGCTTTATTTCTGAGTTTTCTATTCTGTTCCATTTGGTCTATGTGTCTGTTTTTGTACCAGTACCATGCTGTTTTGGTTACTGTAGCTTTATAGTATAGTTTGAAGGTGGGTAGTGTGATGTCTCTTTTATTGTACTTCTTGCTTAGGATTACTTTGGCTATTTGGGCTCTTTTTTTGGTTCCATATTAATTTTAGAATAGTTTTTTCTAATTCTATGAAGAATGACATCCAAACTTCAGCATCATGCAATATACCCATGTAACAAACTTGCACATGTACCCCTGAATCTAAAATAATAGTTGAAATTGAAAAAGAAAGAAAAGAAACCACTCTTCAACTTGTTGCATATCTTTTCATGCATATGCACCCAATTCTACACCAGCCTAAAATCTAAGTGTAAGCAAGAACTTTGTTTTGTTTATCACTATATCTATAGCACTTAGAACTATGTAGCTGGTACATGTGTAAGTGTTTAATAAATGTTCATTAACTGAATGAATGAATGAATAAAAACATAAATATACTGCACATGTTTTTCTTACACAAATGGGATTGTGCTACACATACAGAACAGCTTGCTTTTTCAGTGAATAATATAACATCTTTTAAGCCCAGTTCACATAAATAAATGTGGAATGTATAGATTATTGTGGTATAGCTCCCCGAATGTAAAGAAGAGCACACAGTTCATTCTCACTTTTTTTAAAGGCTGCAAAGCAGCAATTCATTGCATAAATATACTATAATTCATTAAACAATTTCTTCTATTGTTGAATATTCAAGATATTACTAAAATATTTTGTATTAAAAAAAGAGCTTCAATGAATACTGGTATTACTAGATCTTTATAAATTTGTGCTATTATTTCCACAGTTTGATATATAGAAGTGAAAACACAGCGTTGATTTTGCTAGATGCTTTCAAATTCCATTTCGTTTTTATTTTTGTTAATGTGATAGAACAGAAATGTCTCATACTGATTCATATTCTTTTTAAGCATCTTTTAAATATTTCTCAATAATTTTTTCTACTGTAAAATGTTCCTTCCAGTTGATTATTTTTCTTATAGAAACCTATTAAATATAAATAATATTAACAAGTTGTTTTATGTGTTGCAAATAATTTATTTGGTCTCACATTTAAAATTTCAGGGGTGTGTCTTACTGATCAGAATTTTAAAATATTTATGCATCCAAATGTGACATAGGTTTCATTTATAACTTCTTGAGCTTGCATATTGCATAGAACAACAAGATTATTTTTTTAAAAAAAACTCTCCTATGTTTTCTTCATTGAACTGAGAGCTTTGTTTGAAACAATTAAATCATTAATCCATCTAGAATTTTATGGTGAATTTACAAAATGAAAAACAAACACTTTCGAACTTTTAAAAAATACATTATGTCACTTATTGTACCTACTTCTTTACATTTCCACACTTGAATCTGAATCAGAGGTATTTAGAAAAAAATATAAAGAATTGATATCTAATTAGATATTGGGATGGAAGAAAGTATTAAGGAAGAGGGAAAGCCTGACTATGACTCCCAGGGTTTTGGCTTCGGAATCAAGTAGATTATGATATCGTATCTAGGTATATAGGGAAGATGACAAGAGTTCTGACATGTTTATGGGCAAAAGATGTTTATGGGATATCAGAGTAGAAATATACAACTGGGTTTGGATATGGCCAGAAGTTATTAGGGAATTATATATATATATATATATATATATATATATATATATTTATAATTATATATATGACACATATATATAATATATATATATACACACACACATGCATATACATCATATACATATTATATATACATAATTTAGGTAAGATGGGCATAGAAGTGTTTTTCCCCAGTAAATATTTAGAATAAAGAGAGAAGATGGCAAGTGACGGAGTCTTAGAGAACATAAACAATAAACATTACAAGATTGAGAACAGGGAAGAAGCAAGGAAGGCTGAGAAAGAGTAGCTACAAAAAAACAAAAAAAAAAACAAAAAAAAACACACAAGTGAAAGTAACCAGGACAGGGTGGGATCACAGAGTCAAAGAGCAAAGAGTTTCAAGACTGAGGAAACAATGAGTAGTATTAAGCATCAAAAATGAGTAGAATCAAAAGTTAAAAAAAAAACAGGTTTGAGAACTGGTAACTGGTGATCTTGGTAAAAACATTTTATTACTTATGTTTGAGCAATGACCAGACTGCAGTGGTTTAGTCAAAAGGGAAATTGAATTGAGATTAATATTTCCAGACAGTAGGTGGTGGTGAGGGATAGGTTTAAGGAAATTTTTTGGTAAAGACAGAAGGGACTTTGCAATCCTTTTAAGTCAAAAAGACAGTGCCCACTGAGAGAGAACTTAAAGACATAGGAGAAAGAAAAGGGGTAACTTACAGAGTGAAAGAAATGGGGTCTAAGGCAAGGGGAGAAAGGACCTCTGAGAAACGAGTAAGGGGTGGAATGAAGGGTATGCTTGTGGTGGGAAGGGCTGGGCATTTTCCTGGTTAGGGAGAGGAGGGAAAAGGAATGGAAATTGAGAGAGTTCAAGCACGAGGGACTCTATTTCCATTTCAGTACAAAATACTATTGTATAAGAATACGGCATGACAGGGTGATGAAGAGTGAGAAAGGAAACTGGTGAAGCTTGAAGAGGGTCACATTAGGGACACAGACGAAAAGCTGCTTAGAAGTTACAGGGTAATCCCAAGGATCCATGTGAATGTAGTCTAGGAATGTCTACTCTAAATCACAGTCTATGAACGTCTACTGATACTAGTCAGCATCTCCAGCAATATTTCCCACTAGTAATCGGCAGTCTGGCTGGAAGTACAGACATGGCTCAATTGATTCACTGTTGTAATTTTGTCAGGTGCTCAGGGGATAAGTAAGTTAAAGTTATTAAGAAGATAAGTGATTAGTCATGGAATCTTAGCTATTTCAGAAGAAAATAAAGGCAAGAGAATATGAATAAAAGACAATAAATGAGGAATCAAGAAACTAGAGTTCTTGATTAGGTCAAAAAATAAGTGTTCATCTATTTTCTATATATGTACAATCTACCAGAAAACATCAGTTAAAAACTCATGAATATTCTAAGATATCCTGTCTTTTCATTTAATGAAAAGAATGGTTAACAGAAAATATCTTAAGACTCTTGGCATTAGGAATTTACCAATTTTGGTTTGGGCTATTTATGAATAGCCAGTGAGGTCTAAAACTAGGGACAACAGGTACATTCCCCCTTTTAAAAATATGAAGATTATGTCAATATTAGATTTAGCTTTGTAACACAGGTCTACAGTGAAAATGCTACATTTTAAGTTGAAAAACATATTTATCCCTTCAAAATAAGCTTATACATAACTTCCTCTTACCTGCCGTAAAGTACGGGCAACTATGCTTTCTAATACTGGTCCTCTATCTTCATGCAGCAAATGAACTTCATCAAGAATAAGGAGCCTTACAATCTGGGAAAGAGCTACATCCCCAACACTCTTTCTTGTCACTACATCCCATTTTTCTGGTGTGGTCACAAGCATCTATAAGAGAAGACACATTTTAAAAGGGGAAAGTTACATAGGTTATTTAACATTGAACTGTGATACTCAGAAAGAAATATTTTGGCCACCTCTACATAAATCAAATAAAAAGTGTTTAGAATAGCCTAGAATTACATCTAATTTACTATAGACAACAGTCATTTCAAGAAGAACTCTTTTTAAGCTGTGATACTAGGCAGTTTAAGCTCACTGAAGGTAATTTGCCAGTGAATTGTAGGGCAAAGTGTACAAAATACACATGTTTTTTTAAAAAGTATCTTACAATGTAAAAAAAAAAAAAACAGTAAGAACACTATTTTTTAAAGTAGCATATACTGATAATGGTCTTTATTTGAAAAGGGACTAAAAAATGATGAAAGCATTAAAAGGAAAGAAAGAAAAATCAACAATTCACTCTACCGATAATCTACTTTGGATGACAGATTAAAAATAACCCAAGATATAGTATCATAAATATACCCAGAGATCACTTACTAACAATGCTTTTCATTGAAAAACATGCCCATATGTTGTAAAACAAAAAGACACCATAATTCTCCTAAATTTTAAATTAATGGCACATTAAAATATAAAACTAGCTTGTTATTAGTAAATATTAGGAGAGGTACAAAGTAGATTATTAAATTACAATAATAAATACAAACGTGGCCATCTACCTCACCACCAACTTAGAACAGTATGCCAGCCCTTTCTTATTAATTTGCAGAGAAAAAATGTGGTAACAAATTATAAAATCAAAATTTTCAGATATCAGAAAGCATCCCTAATTTGAAAATCCAAAATCCAAATGCTCCAATGAGTATTTTCTTGGAGCATCATGTCAGCACTCAGAAAGTTCTAGATTCTGAAGCATTTTGGATTTCAGATTTTCAAATTAGAGATGCTCAACCTGTACCACCAAATCTTAAAATCCTTTCTAGTATTTTGTTTTCTATGCTTTAATTTCAGCACAGTAAGAAGTGGCTTCATTTATAATACTATTTTACTACTTCAGTTCCCTGAACTAAAATGGCTAGAAAATAAAGTGTCACATTTGCTTAATGATTTGGAACTCATGCAAGACATTTCCATCTGCTCTTGCATTAGGGCCTGGGTTAACTGTCAATACTTTTACTGTCAACTTAAATTTCTCTCAGTACATGTACTTAATCCCTTGGCAGTATAAAAATCAGTATTCTAAACTGTTCCAACTTTAGCCTGTCCACTGGGAAAATGGCATAGTTGAGATGCTTATAAACCACGATTATGCCAAACATTTGGTGTATTTAATTTTTAAATGCTCATTAATTTGACAGCAAAACCAAAGGACCTAAGACTTGCCAGAACCAATTCATCTTAAACGTTATTATTAAAAACTTTCCTTACAGCTGTATATAGTAAAATTACACTATTTTGTTTTCTACAATTGTTTAACGACTACTCCATTATTGTTTATCCTAGGTAAAGTGTATTCCTCCTTGAGGAGGGGAAGAGAAGAGAAAAACACAGTAAAAATTTTAATCTAAACTTTTAATGATTTGCATAATCTACTAATTGAATACTACAACAAGCCCTATATCAAACATACCAGAGATAGTGCTTCACTGAATGAAGAACGTCACGCCCAAATCCGCGTATTCACAGACTTGTCCCAAAAGGAATTTTTTGAATTTTGAACTAAAGAATTATGAGAGAGATCATAAAATCTCTCGTGTAATAAAGCCTCCGAGAGGAATGAGTTTGTGCATTTTACATTTGGTTCTTTTTTCCCCCACAAATTACTAGATTGAATTAATCTAATGCTCCTTGAGAAACAGAAAATGCAAAGATTCAAGAAGGAACTTTCACTGTATCAGCCAGGCAGCAATTACAGGCAGATGACCAGCTCCAGTGTTAGATCCCAGAGCTATGCAGCTATGGATCTGAACTTTCTGTTCTGGGTTTGTAACAACAACAACAACAACAACAACAACAACAAAAAAGGGTCTAAATATGTTTTATTCATATTTTTACTCTACAAATAGTTATTAGAGACAAAGATTAAAAATGACTAATGTTATTAACGTGGCTTCACAAAGAACTGAGCCAGAATGAAGAGAAATAAATCAAAATAGTGGTTTGGAGGGGGAGGGGGGCCAGACAGAAAAGTGGCAGTAGGGATCATTCTAAGGAGAAAAAAATTTTCTATACCTGCTTAAGAGTGTGGCTTACACATTTGCCAAAACACAGTGTATCTCTTCTATTTGGCTGTAAGTCAAAGAAAGTCTAAAAATAACTTTTTCTTCCCTAAAGATAAACATCTGCAAATATAACATTATTCTCTATGTGTCAAAAGTAACAATCAAATTGTCTAAGTAGACATAACAAATGCAATATGTGAGCTTGGGAATAAACATTAAGGTGCACATATAAATGTAACTATAGTATATAATTATGCTATAGTGCTTAATATGCAGTTAACACATGAGCCAAACAATTAATTGAAAATAATGAATATATATTTTTTCATATTTAATAAAAAAACACAAAAAAGAAGGGGGGAATGATAAAGAGAGAGTGAGAGACAGATAGACAGAGAGAAGTGACATCACTATACAACTACCATAAAAGTTAGAATGAATGATAGAAAATAACAGAGGATATGTTTACAGAGGATGTAGAGCAACTAGAACTCTCCTAAAGTAACGGTGGAATATAAACTTATACAATCACTTTGAAAAACTGCTTGGTAACATCTAGTAAAGCTGAAATATGCATGCGTTGTGACCCAGCAATTCCATTTCCTAATATACTATATACCCAACAGAAACACACATATATGTGCACCCAAAGACATGTATAAGAATTTTTATTGCTGTATAATTTATAATACTCCAAAATCAAAAACAAACCAAATGTCCATCAACAATAACATGGATAAATAATAAGTAATATATTTATACAGTGGGATAAAATACATGCTATACAATAAAAATAAATAAACTATTAAACTACGTGCAACAGCATGGAAAAAAATTCATAATATTAAGTATAATCACTTTTTACCTTCTCCTTTCCCACTCTCTCCTTTGCCAAGGAGTCTCTTCCCAAAAATGAAAGCATCCATAGCTGCGGATGGCCTATGATTAATCTCATATTCCATGTTTATGGGGGCATATGTTAGCATTTAGGGAAGAAAGCGCACTTGGTGATAGCACGAATACATCAGAAAAAGTCATGCCAATTCAACCTCATTTTCACATCGGATAAAGTCAACAAGAAGGCAGTGAAGAGAAAGCACTAGACACAGTATATACATAGTTTTCTGTATATACTGAAACTTTTGACAAAGTTTGCCCATGATATATTTATGACTAAGACAAATCAGGGAAGGCTGATAATACAACTATGGATGTCTGAACAATCTCACTGAAAGACTGGTACTTTAACAACAAGAGCAAAAAGTAAATCAAAATCAAAATAGCCATTATTTTAGAATGAAGGAGCTAGTGTGAGGGGGTAAATAAGAGAGGGAGAGGACTAGAGAAATTAAGAGGAAGAGAAAGAGATAAGGAGGGAGAGAAAATATGTGTGTGAACAGAGAAAAATGGCAGAGAGAATGTGTGTGTGAACAGAGAAGGCATTTTATGGAAAGATTTCAACTTCTTGAACAAACTTCTAGAAGAAGATCTCGAACAAAGATCTGACAAAGCAAATGTGTATTGGAAGCTATGCTTCAGTTTTTCTTTAGTGAAGAACAACTAGCTAGGTAACGATGCACCTCAATCCTTAAAACCTTCCAATTTTAATTGTTTCATTATACATAAAATGGAGTCCTAAGGTTTTATTTTTTACTATTGAGAATATATATCTGGCTTAAGACACAAAAATGTATGTGATGCATAAAAGTAGCCTGTTGTATGTTTAACTCATCTTGTTATATCTGATGGGAAGTTATACAAGTCATATTGATATCATATTGAATTTTAAATAATTTATCATTTTGACTATTGGAACAGTTTGTTACTTTGAAGCATATGGCTAAAAAGTAGATTTAAAGTTTTGAATCAAAAGGAATACACAAATTTTAAAGATAAAAGTATACTTTCTTGTCTTTATAACATTTAAAATTGATTTTGAAATTTTTAGTACTTAGACTGTAGAAAACCGGGAGCAAACTGTGTAATCACATATGTGACTTTTTTAAAACCAGAATGATAAAATATCAAAACATAGCCACTAAAATACAATAGTATACTATATATCATCAAATCTCAGGAGCCATTGATTCCAGCTATACCATATTTTATTGTCACTAAGAAGGTGAAAAAATACCACTGGGCTGTGTGCAGTGGCTCACACCTATAATCCCAGCACTTTGGGAGGCCAAAGTGGGAAGATGACTTGAGGTCAGGAGTTTGACACCAGCCTGTGCAGTACGGTGAGACCTCGCCTCCAGAAAAAAAAAAAATTAACTGGATGTGGTTGCACATGCCTGTAGTCTTACAGGGGGCTGAAGTGGGAGGATTGCTTGAGCCCAGGAGTTCCAGGCTGCGCTGAGCTGTGATCATGCCACTGCACTCCAGCCTGGGAGACAGGGCAAGACTCCATCTCTGAAAACAAAACAAAACAAAACAAAACAAAACAAATGCCACTACCAAGTATATTTTCAAAATGTATCTTACAATTGATAAAATATGGTACATTTAGTTGAAAAATGTTTGGAATCTATTAACTAAGCTAAAGAGCAACCTTCAAGAATGCTTGCCTAGTACATCTTCTGTGGTGAAAATAGCCTGGAATTGTTACAAATCACATTCTAACACTATAGGTGTAGACCAGGCAACAGCTTGCAAGATTTAAGAACTACTGTCTTCCTTTCTAAAATACATAATCACATACTCAGTCAACCGATAAGCTTATAAATTATACGGATGTTTTAATTTAAAGATTAAATCTAAAATGTCACATGGTTTACATTCCATAAACATACATATAATTAGTTATACTAACCTCTGATATACAAATGTCAGTTCTGATTGATGGCAACAGTCCCCATAATGGAATCTGACAGCTTGCAGATTATACCTGCCCCTTGGGACTCTACAACAAATCAGTTAGTTCCACTCACTTCCTCTTCAACATTTTTTATGTTCCCTTCTCTCCCATCAATTCACATGCACGAATGCACGCTCACACACATAAAGCATAGTCTCAAATATCAAGTTATATTTATGTCAAGGATGGTGGCTTTCAATTACAAAATAAAAATGTATTCAAGTACAAAAGTATTCTCACAGCATATTGTTTTTTGAAAAGTATAATATAATAAAGCTAAAGCACAAAGAGTGTCACCTGAAATGTATCTCGGTATTTTCATATTAGGAAAAATAAATGATACTATTTTTAGCTAAAATTTCAAATTGACATTTACAAAAAAAAAGGATAATTCAAGAAGAAATTCTAAAGCTTTTGAAGGAACAGAGCAGGAAATGCTGGGAATTGGGGAGAGACGTTCTCCTATTCAAAATTGAACATGTAAAAAAATACTTTCCAGACTATGTGTGTTTACATCTGAAACACAATTCTTTTTGCAGTTCATTCTCTTTGCAGTTCTTTGTGTTAAGACATTTTTCATCAATCTCAGAATATACATACTGAAGTCTAGCCTCATTAGCATAAGCTTGTAAAAAAAGGGACACAATACTTTGTTACCCTGAAACCTTAACTAATTACATATAATTGAGAAAAATACAAAATTGTTTATATTTCTGTTTATACAAACCATAAAGCCCTTGTTCATCACTCTAACTGCTTATCTGTAATACTCCAGGATTTTACTCCATTAATGTCTCGTAGAGCAGGCGTCTGCTACAACTTAGAATGCCTCTTTATGTTCGTAAAGACAGTTTGCTGTTCACATGTGACTAATTTGTGGTAGCAACTTGTCCTGTGGTGAGACCTAATCGTTACAATTGGGATATTCATAGAGAACAGGTTTCCTTCATTTATTGTAAAGTTGTGTTTTTCAAATCGGACTGGTTTGTGTGCCCTTTGAAAGCAAAACCAAACCAAACCAAAACAAAACACAACTTTGAACATTTGACAGTCACTACCTCTTACCTGCTACATTTGTAAAACCCAGTTTGAGGATCAATCTTTTACTAAAAAGAAACACTTTAAAATGTCATACTGCAGGTCGGGTGTGGTGGCTCATGCCTGTAATCCCAGCACTTTGGGAGGCCAAGGTGGGCAGATAAAAGGAGGTCAGGAGTTCGAGAACAGCCTGACCAACATGGCAAACCCCGTCTCTACTAAAAATACAAAAATTAGCCAGGCATGGTGGTAGGCGCCTGTAATCCCAACTACTTGGGAGGCTGAGGCAGGAGAATCACTTGAACCCGGGAGGCGGGGGTTGCAGTGAGTGGAGATCATGCCATTGCACTCCAGCCTGGGCAACAAAGCGAGACTCCGTCTCAAAACAAAAAAAAAAAAAAAAAGAAGAAGAAGATGTATTGCAATACCACACTACTACACCTTAAATGTGATGAACTAAATAAATGTATTCTGCAGTTCTCCACAAAAAAGACTCAAAATAATAAAAATTTTATCTCTTCAAACTAATTCCAGTCAGTCAATATTAAGAGATTACATTTATTCAAGAATAAGTAGTCAAAAGTTTGTTTGGGGTGTACTTTTGGGAAAGGCAGACAGAGGAAAGGGGGAATCTAAAACCTTATCAACAAATTACAGTAAGATAAAGGCTACTGAAAATGACCGTTAATTAAGAAATAGATGTTTTCATAGTTCCTTATTGTTTACCCATTTCAATTATTTAAATCATTTCTCTTTTAATTGGAAAAAGAACAAAGAACATGGGTACATCTATAAACTTAACCACAATTTATGTTTATCCAAGAGCTTCCTGATAGAAACCTGTGACTAACTCACTCATTCAATGTCCTTAGATGTGTGTCTATGGTTAGAATACAAAGATAACTAGAAGTTATACTTTGAGAAAATATAGCAAAACAGAGGAGAAATGTGGTCCAAACTCTCTCTCACACAATGTTATGAAATGCAATGGTCATCTATGTGGTACAGCTGTCCAATTCGAGTAACTGCCACTGCCACAACCTATACCTCAAGGTCCACATTACTAATATAGCACCAGTAGTGTAGTGTTAGAGCCAAGTGAAATTATACATTTTCTGTTATTTCCCCCTCCATTTCCCTTCCATTTCCTGCAATTTAACAACATTGGAAAACTAACAACATTAGAAAAAAGATCAAGGAACAATTATTTGCTATTGGTTTTGAAGTGGCTTAACAGAAGTTCACATACACTAAAAATAAGGTTTAGTAAAGTGATAAAAGAGAAAAGCAAATATGATGAAAGTATACATAATATGTGATTATATATAAAACCTTGCTCAAAGCTTTTGACACTATATTGAGAAAGAAAAACTGGCACATAGCTTCAAATAGAGACAAAAGAGAACCTCAATAAAAGTGTTATTCTGGCATCAAACTTTAAGAGCGGTTTCTTCTATAGAACACTATTCTGGAGACCGAATGACACAGTATGTTCACTCAGTGACCATCTTGTTCAGTGAAATTTGTTCCCCAATGTGGCAATATTGGTAGGTGGGGCCTCGTGGGTGGTGTTTGGGTCATGACGTCAGATCCCTTATGAATACATTAATGCCCTCCTTTGGGGGTGAGTGGATTTTCACTCTATTAGTTCCCAGAAGAACTGGCAGTCAAAAAGAGCCTGGAACCTACCCACCAACAAACCCCTGCACTGGCTCCCCTTTTGCTTTCCGCCACTTAGCTGAAGCAGCCTGAGGCCCTCATCAGACGCCGATGCCCAATCTTGAACTTTCCAGCCACCAGAATTATGAGCCAAATAAATACCTTTTCTTTATAAACTACCCTGTCTAAGGTATTCTGTTACAGCAACAATAAACGAACTAAGAGAACAATACTTTCAGAATAAATGCAACAGCAACCTCATGAGACAATTACTTATAGTTCCTTCAGACAAAATCCAAAAGTTCAGCATTAAAACTCAACCTCTTGAAAGCAATTTTGTTCGTTATTTCTTAAATTAGAAAATGCATGAGTTTGTAAAGCATTCAAATCACAAAGAGACTCTCCCATCTCCTCTCCACTAGCTTGTTCTTCTCCCCTAAAACATACATTGCTTACTATATATATCCCTTTAAAAACAAACAAACAAAATATATATACGCTCTCAAATATTTTACACAAATGGGACAAAGGACACTGTGCCCTGTCTTATGATAGTTCTTGTAGGAGCTACAATGATGTTGTCAGAGCGAGTTGTCCAATTTGATGCAAATTAGTAATCCCCAGAGAAATAATTCTCATTTTTCTTGTTCTGTTTATTTGGGCCTAGGAGTGGTAAGTGGGGGCAAGGAAGCTTTTGTAACCACCATTAAGTAAAGCAGAGCCTCTGGGTAGCAGGAGAAGAATTTTTTACCACCATGTGATAAATTATGAAGGGGATTCTCATTATTTGATGCATATGCATATTGGAAAACACTGACTGAAGATTAAATAGGTACTATGTATTTATATTATCTTCCTTAAATATAACTAATTTATTAAAATGAGTTTTTGATACGACATAAATATCAGATATTTCAACAATACTCACAAGCACAAAACCTGAAGTCCTTTTTATTAACTACAGTAATGTGATGTAATTATTATAAAAAGACTATAACATCAGACTGAGTAGTCTGAGTACCTGCCATGGTACTTACAGCAGTGTGACCTTGGGCAACTTAAACTCTCCCTGCTTCAATTTTCTCATCTGTAAAATGGAGATTAAAACGGTACTTACCTTTTAGGTTTCTTGTGATTATGGGAATTATTTCATATAAAAAAGATTATAGCACAAAGCACATACTAAGCTTATGTAAGTGTCTGCTATTATTATTGCTGTCCCTATCCCCAGTCCTGTACCACCATCACTACTACCACTATTTTGGGCAATTAACTGGTAAAGACACATCAGGGAAACCACTAGGTGCCACATCAGGGAAAGAATAAAATCATAAGCAAGGTAGTAGCCCAAAGTGTCTACACTGGCTTAATTACAAAATATACTTATGTAACAAAACAAACTAAGCTACTCTGCAAAACTGGTTGATGCTAGAAATGATGTAACAGAATATCACCTTTTACTTCTTGTAGATAATATATCTCTATTTCTGAGAACACATTGATTGATACCAGAACCATCATTTCCAATCCTAATTAGAATAAAACCATAGAGCAGGGTATAAAAAGTCTACTTTAAACAACCTAAAATCAATAAAAACATTGTATGTTATATATTAAGGAGGAAAGTGCTGCTAAAAGGCATCCTTTTTTATTTTAATGACATATAATTCTCAGTAAGGGTAGGAGCATGATAGAAAGGGCAAAATATCAGTGTATATAATAGGAAAATATTCCCCGAGTGATCTGATATTACAACTTAAGATGAATTTCTTGGACACCAAGACTCCAATATCCATTTTCTTTTCAACTCTTTCTCACCATATTACCCCGATTTCATTTAAGGAAATCACTTGCCAAAATGATTTTACAACACTATTTGCAAGGTTGAGAGCTGAAGTTACACTGTAGGTTTCCCTGCATGGGGTACTTTTATTATCTTTAACTACTAGTTTATTATGAGAAAACAGCTTCGTACTTTAATAAGCATTTGTTTGATTGCTAGTGATGTTTAACATCTTATTTTTTTTTTTTTGAAACTTTGCATTTTTCCCTTATGTGAAGAGTCCATTCAGTAAAATTTCTATTATCAGTTTGCATAAATTCTCCTTTTAATAGAGATATTAAGCATCAAAATAGAGCCATTTTAGATGGTAAATTTGGCAATGTTTATCAAATTTAAAATGCACAAACCCTACATTCAGCAATCTTGCTTTCATAATTCCATCCTAGAAAAAGGCACAGACACAAATGAACATTCATAAGGTTCTTCTGAAGACAATAAGATCTCTACATACATACACAAAATTAAGTAAAAAAGACATAGTATTATGCACTTTATATAAACACACACACAAAGTATGATACAATTTTTATTAAAGTAAAATAAAACTACGTATAAAAATGTTTCTCTACACCCTTCAGCCCCTGAGCTTACATATTTAGGTGGCTTTTCTCAAACCATATACCGTAGTAATATTTCCTTTTTATATGCTTCTGTGGCATCTCCATACCCACATTTTCAATTTTAGCAGTGACTACACTATATTGCTTGCTCCCTCAATACACCCACAAGTACAACAAAGGGAGGAACAGTAACTCTCTTGACTGCTGTATCCACAATGCCTGGAAGTGGTCTGACACATGGAACATACTCCAGTAACTGTTGATAAATTATACTTCTTGCAGGTAATAATTATCGATACCACAATATTGGTGATAACTATTCTTGTCTAATGAGGAAAACAGAACAAAGTATATTTACATTTAATAATATATAATGTAAGCTCTACTATGTAGCTATGTAGGTTTAAAAAGTTCCTTTTCCTGAGAGGCCGAGGCAGGCAGATCACGAGGTCAGGAGATCGAGACCATCCTGGCCAACATGGTGAAACCCCATCTCTACTAAAAATACAAAATTAGCTGGGCGTGGTGGCACATGCCTGTAATCCCAGCTACTCAGAAGCTGAGGCAGGAGAATCGCTTGAACCAGGGAGGCGGAGGTTTCAGTGAGCCGAGATCTTGCCACTGCACTCCAGCCTGGGCAACAAGAGTAAAACTCCATTTCAAAAAAAAAAAAGTTCCTTTTAAGACATTGTCACATAATAGGATTTGTGACTTAGAGAAATGTTCTCCTCCCTAATCTGCTTGTATACACTTAACCACACTGAAAACTCTAAATGTGTATAAAAGCAAAGAAGCACATTTACTACATCTTGCACAAAGGCATTAGTACCTCCACTGTCCAGCCCTTGGCCTAATGAGATGATACTTCCTGTGTCCAGATATCATTTCCCTGAGAATGAATGTTGCTAAGGAAGGGTGGGATCTTAATGGCTCCCCTTGGATCTAAGCTAAACTAAGTGGCCTGGATCCTCATTTTTTCAGGAAGACCTAAACTGTATTTCAAGGTATCATTAAAAGAGGAATGAGGCCAGGCACAGTGGATCACACCTGTAATCCTAGGACTTTGGGAGGCTGAGGCAGGCAGACTGCTTGAGCTCAGGACTTCAAGACCAGCCTGGGCAATACAGTGAAACCCCAACTCTACTAAAATACAAAAACTTAGCCTGGGTAGTGGCGTGCGCCTGTAGTCCCAGCTACTCGGAAAGTTGAGGCAGGAGAATTGCTTGAACCCGAGAGGTGGAGGATGCAGTGAGCCGAGATTGCACCACTGCACTCCAGCCTGGGCAACAGAGTGAGACTCCGTCTATTTAAAAAAAAAAAGGCGGGGGAGGCAGTGGGGGTGGGTAGGGAATGAATATAAATTGAACATTCTATGATCAGGACTCAAAGTTTTTTTTTTTTTAAGTACAGGGGTACATGTGCAAGATGTACAGGTTTATTACATAAGAAAACGTGTGCCATGGTGGTTTGCTGTGCAGATCATCCCATCACCTTACATATTAAGCCCAGCATCCCTTAGCTATTCCTCTTGATGCTCTCCCTCCCTCACCCCCAACAGGCCCCAGTGTGTGTTGTTCCCCTACCTGTGTCTATGTGTTCTAATCATGCAGCTCTGACTTATAAGTGAGAATAGGTGGTGTTTGGTTTTCTGTTCCTGCATTAGGTCACTGAGGATAGTGGCTTCCAACTCCATCCATGTCCCTGCAAAGGGTATGATCTCATTCCTTTTTATGGCTGCACAGTATTCCATGGTGTACAGATACCACATTTTCTTTATCCAGTCTATCATTGATGGGCATTTAGGTTGATTCCATATCTTTGCTATTGTGAACAGTGATACAGTGAACATACATGTACATGTATCTTTGTAACAGAATGAGTTATATTCCTTTTGTTATATACCCAGTAATGGGATTGCTGGCTCAAATGGTATTACTGCTCTAGGTCTTTGAGGAATCACCACACTATCTCCCACAATGGTTAAACTAATTTACACTTCCACCAACAGTGTAAAAGCATTTTTTCTCAACAATCTCACCAGCATCTGTTGTTTACTGACTTTTTAGTAACAGCCATTCTGACAGGCATGAGATGGTATCTCATTGTGGTTTTAATTTGCATTTATCTAATGATCAGTGATGTTGAGCTGTCTTTCATGTTTGTTGGCTGCATGTATGTCTTCTCTGGAGAAGTGTCTGTTCATGTCCTTTGCCCACTTTTTAATAAGGTTTTTTTTCTTGTAAATTTGTTTGAGTTCCTTGTAGATGCTGAATATAAGACCTTTGTCAGATGGATAGATTGAGAAAGTTTTATCCCATTCTGTAGGTTGTCCATTCACTCTGAAAATAGTTTATTTTGCTGTGCAGAAGCTCTTTAGTTTAATTAGATACCATTTGTCAATTTTTGCTTTTGTTGCAATTGCTTTTGGCATTTTTGTCATGAAATATTTGCCTGTGCCTATGTCCTCAGTGGTACTGTCTAGATTTTCTTCTAGGGTTTTGTAGTTTGGGGTTTTACATTTAAGTCTTTAATCCATCTTGAGTTAATTTTTGCACTTGTGTAAGGAAGAGGTCCAGTTTCAATTTTCTGCATATGGCTAGCCAGTTCTCTCACCACCATTTATTAAATAGGGAATCCTTTCCCCACTGCTTGGTTTTGTCTGGTTTTTGAAGATCAGATGGTTGTAGGAGTGCAGTCTTATTTCTGAGTTCTCTGTTCTGTTCCACTATTCTATGTCTCTGTTCTTCTATCACTACCATGCTGTTTTGGTTGCTGTAGCTTTGTAGTACAGTTTAAAGTCAGGTAGCACGATGCCTCCAGCTTTGTTCTTTTTGCTTTGGACTGTCTTGGCTATTTGGACTTCTTTTTTGTTCCACATGAATTTTAAAATAGTTTTTATTTCTAATTCTGTGAAGAATGTCAATGCTAGCAATTTTTGCACATTGGTTTTTTATCCTGAGATATTGCTAAAGTTGCTTATCAGCTTAAGAAGCTTTTGGAATGAGACAATGGGGTTTTCTAGATAAAGGATCATGTCATGTGCAAACAAAGATAATTTCACTTCTTCTCTTCCTATATGAATACCCTTTATTTCATTATCTTGCCTGATTGCCCTGGTGAAAACTTCCAATATTATGCTGAATAGGAGAGGTGAGAGAGGGCATCCTTGTCTTGTGCTGGTTTTCAAGGGGAATGCTTCCAGCTTTTGCCAATTCAGTATGATATTGGCCATGGGTTTGTCATATATGGTTCTTATTATTTTGAGGTATGTTCCTTCAATACAGAGTTTATTGAGAGATTATAATAGGAAGCAATGTTGAATTTTTATCAAAGGCTTTTCTGCATCTATTGAGATATTCATGTGGTTTTTGTCTTTAGTTCAGTTTATACAATGAATCACATTTATTCACTTGCATATGTTGAACCAGCCTTGCATCCTGATATGAAGCCAGCTTGATCATAATCAATAAGCTTTTTGTTGTGCTGCTGGATTTGGTTTGCCAGTATTTTATTGAGGATTTTTGCACCGAAGCTCATCAAGGATGTTGGCCTCATCTTTTGTTTTTTGTTGTTGGATCTTCCAGGTTTTGGCATCAGGATGATGCTGGCCTCACAAAATGAGTTAGGGAGGAGTCCCTCCTTTAAATTTTTTGAAATAGTTTCAGTAGAAATGGTATCAGCTCTTTGTACCTCTGGTAGAATTCACCTGTGAATCCAACTGGTCCTGGACTTTTTTTGGTTGGTAGGCTATGTATTACCACCTCTATTTCAGAACTCACTATTGGTCTATTCAGGGATTCAATTTCTTCCTGATCTAGTTTTGGGAAGGTATATGTATCCAGGAACTTATCTGCTTCTTCTAGATTTTCTAGTTTATGCGCATAGAGGTGTTTATAGTATTCTGTGGTGGCTGGTTATATTTCTGTGGGGTCAGTGGTGACATATCCCTTATCATTTCTGATTGTGTTTGATTCTTTTCTCTTTTCTTCTTTATTAGTCTAGCTAGTGGTCTAACAATTTTGTTAATTTTTTTAAAAAAACAGCTCCTGGATTCATTGATTTTTTGAAGGGTTATTCATGTCTCTATATCCTTCAGTCAGCTCTGATCTTGGTTATCTCTCGTTTCCTGCTAGCTTTGGGGTTTGTTTGCTTTTGGTTCTCTTGTTCTTTTAGTTGACATATTAGGCTGTTAATCGGAGGTATTTCTAACTTTCTGATGTGAGCATTTAGTACTATAAATTTCCCTCTTAATACTGCTTTCACTGTATCCCAGAGATTCTGGTACACTGTCTCTTTGTTCTCATAATTTTGAAAGAACTTCTTGATTTCTGCCTTAATTTCATTATTTAACTAAGTTTCATTCAGGATCAAGTTGTTTAATTTCCATGTAGTTGTGTGGTTTTGACTGAATTTCTTAATCTTGAGTTCTAATTTGATTGCACTGTGGTCTGAAAGACTGTTGATTATGATTTCAGTTTTTACGCATTTGTTGAGGAGTGTTTTACTTCCGATTATGTGATCAATTTTAGAGTAAGTGCCATGCAGCAATGAGAGAAATGTATATTCTGTTGATTTTTGGGTGGAGAGTTCTGTAGATATCTATCTGGTCCACTTGATCCAAACCTGGGGGCAGGTCATGAATATCTTTGTAATTTTCAGTCTCAGTGATCTGTCTAAAATTGTCAGTGAGATTTTAAAGTCTCCCACTATTACTGTGTGTGAATCTAAGTCTCTCTGTAGGTCTCTAACAACCTGCTTTATGAATCTGGGTGCTCCTGTATTGGACACATATATTTAGGTTAGTCAGCAATTCTTGTTGAATTGCACCCTTCCTTGTCTTTTTTTATCTTTGTTGGTTTAAAATCTGCATTGTCAGAAACTAGGAATGGCAACCCCTGCTTTTTTCTGTGTTCCATTTGCTCCACTCCTTTATTTTGAGTTTATGTGTGTCTTTGCCTATGATATGGGTCTCTTCAAAACAGCAGACTGATGGATCTTGGCTCTTTATCCAGCTTGCCATTCAGTGTCTTTTAATTGGGGCTTTTAGCCCATTTACATGTAACATCAATATTGTTACACATTAATTTGATCCTGTCATCATGATATTGGCTAGTTATATGGTTGCTTCACAGTGTCACTGCTCTGTTTAATTCAATGTGTTTTTGTAGTGACTGGTAATAGTTTTTCCTTTCCAAATTTACTGCTTTCTTCAAGAGTTCTTGCAAGGCAGGCCTGGTAGTGATGAATTCCCTCAGCATTTGCTTCTCTGAAAAGGATCTTCTTTCTCCTTTGCTTATGAAGCTTAGTTTGGCCAGATAGGAAATTATGGGTTGGAAATTCTTTTGTTTAATAATGTTGCATACTGGTGCACAATCTCTTCTAGCTTGTAGGTTTTCTACTAAGAGGTCTGCTGTTAGTCTGATGGGCTTCCCTTTGTAGGTGACTGGGCCTTTCTCTCTGGCTGCCCTTAACATTTTTTCTTTCATTTCAGCCTTGGAGAATCTGATGATCATGTGTCTTGGGATTGATCTTCTCATGGATTATCTTAGTAGGGTTCTCTGCATTTCCAGAATTTGAATGTTGGCCTGTCTTTTTAGGTTGGGGAAGTTCTCCTGGATGATATCCTGAAGTATGTTTTCCAACTTGGTTCCATTCTCCCCATCTCGTTTAGGTACCCCAATCAGTCGTAGGATCAGTTTCTACCTAATCAAATATTTATCAGAGCCTTTGATCACTTATTTTCATTCTTTTTTTCTCTATTCTTCTCTGCCTGTCTTATTTCAGAAAGACAGTCTTCAAGCTCTGAGATGATTTTCTCTGCTTGGTCTATTCTGCTACTGATACTTGTGAGTGTATTGTGAAGTTCTCGTAGTGTTATTCAGCTCCATGAGGTTGGTTATGTTTATCTCAAAACTGGCTATTTTGGCTGTCAGCTCTCGTACTGTTTTATCTTGATTCTTAGCTTCTTTGTACTAGGCTACAACATGCTCCTTTAGCTCAGTGAAGTTTGTTATAGCCTACTTCTGTTAATTCAGCCATCTCAGTCTCAAACCAGTTCTATGTCCTTGCTGGAGAGGTATTGTGGTCATTTGGAGAAGAGGCATTGGATTTTTGAGTTTTCGGCATTTTTGTGTTGGTTCTTTCTCATCTTTGCGGGCTTATTTAGCTTCAATCTTTGAGGTTGCTGATCTCTGACTGGGGTTTTTGGGGTCCTTTTGTCAATGCTGATATTGCTGTTTTCTGTTTGTTTTTCTCTTAACAGTCAAGCCACTCTTCTGTAGGACTGCTGTGATTTGCTGGAGGTCTGCTCCAGATCCTAGTTGGCTCAGTTTTACTCATACCTGGAGGTATCACCAGCAGTGAAGACTATGAAACAGCAAAGATGGCACCCTGCTCCTTCCTTTGGAAGCTCCATCCCAGGGGGTACTGACCTGTTGTTGGCCTGAACGTGCCTGAAGGAGGTGGCTGAAGACCTCTGTTGGGAGGTCTCACCCAGTCAGGAGGAACAGAATCTGGGACTTGCTCAGAGATACATTCTGGCTGCTTTTTGGTTTACCAGGTGTGCTGCATTAGGGGGTACGCTTCCACATTTGGGCTGTTTGGACTCTCCAAAGGCAGGAGGCTGGAACAGCTGAATTGACTGAACCAAGAAATGGCAGCTGCCCCTAACTGCAGGAGCTCCATCCCAGGGAGAGATCAGAGCCCTGTCTGTATAACACTGGCTGGAGTGGCTGAAGCCCCCACAGGGAGGTACTGCCCAGTGAGGGCAAATGCATCCAAGTCCTGCTTAAAGAAGCAGTCTGGCCATGGTCTGGAAAAGCAGCTGTGCTGCTTTGGAGGGGACCTTTCTTCATCTAGACCATTTGGACTCTCCAAAGCTGGCAGGCTGGAGTGGCTGAGTTGACCAAACTGCAGAGAAGGCAGCCCCCATCCTCCTCACCCTAGAAACTCCATCCTGTTTCAGGTAGACTCAACCCTGTTGCCATTGGCTGGCTGGAATTCCAAGCCAGTGGATCTTATCTTGTCAGGTGTGGTGGAAGTGAGGCCTGCAGAACAATGCTGCTTGGCTTCCTGGATTCAGCCCCCTACCTAGGGGAATGTCCAGGTGGACCTCTCTCGCCTTGCCAGGGATCTCGAGGCCATACTATGCAAAAGTCCTGGGTTTCTGTGTGTGCCTGAGTGGCTGCTCTGCCAAGACTCTGCACAGCTCTGTGTATCAGACCCAAGGCTCTGGTAGAGTGGGTTCATGAGATCTCCTGGTCCACAGGTTGCTTCCTGGGAGAAGCGTGGTTTCCCAGGTGGGGTCACACAATAACTCACTTCTTCCCTTGGCCGGGGGTGGGGAGTCCTTTGGCTCTGTGCCACTCTTGGGTGGGCCATCATCCCACCCTGCTTTTCTTCATTATCCATGGGTTGAGTTGTTTGCCTAATCAGTCACAATGTGAGAACCTGGATATTTCAGTTGAAGGTGCTATTATCACTTGCCCCTTTCATTCCGCTTCATGATTGCCACAGACTGCAGCTGCTTCTAATTGGCCATCTTCGATTTCGGCCATAAGCTGATTCTTGACTCATAGATTTTTATAATGCTCCTGTCTCGTGACTTCCCCATCCCCTTCAATCCTCAGTCTTCTCCCTCACCCCCGGACTCTCCTATCAAAACAGGCCACCTTTTACTCCCTTATCTCCCATAAGGCAACAACTGAGGTCTCCTGGCTTAATTTCCTCCAAAGCAAGAAAGCAGAGTGGGTGGTCCTATTAACATGGTTTCAATTCTATATTTGTATAAATAGTAATTTATTAACATTCTTAAATCTATATTCTTAGAGCCTCATTTATCAATATACTATATCTGATATATTATGAAGGTTTAATGAAAACACATTCAATATCTTTCACTCATGCATTTATCAAATATTTATTATACACCTACTAGTACAAATCCTACAGTTCCCTACAATACAAGATGAAAAGATAACAGTACCTACATATCACTGGATTATAATGAATATGATACACATTAATACTCACAAATCTTTAAAATAATGCCTGACAGATAGGGATCAATTGTGTTTTCTAACATCATCATCATTACCATCATGCAGGGTTTTTAAACTATTTTTAAAATTGTATTTATGCTTAAGTAGCTTATTAAACACTGATTGTTAAATGATTAACATACTGAACTGATATATGAAAAAGATACACAGTACTTTATCAAGCTACATAAAGGATTTTACCCTGAATGTCCTTACTTATCCTTAGCAGAAGCTCAAACCTTCAGCAAATCCAGAAGCTGAAACAAATCCTTTTGTGCTGATAAAAATCTACACCGTGTATCATTTTACTTTCCCTTAGTTTTTTATTCCATATTTTATCAAGTAGCTTAAATTTATTTTATTTTATTTTTAGCTCTTTATACCAAATAGAGCACTGGGAAGGAGAATGGAGGAGTAGGGGCAAAGATTACTGATTATTATAGGTAGGTTATAAAACTGAACTGTATTTTCCAGAGCAAAGTACAATCAACATAGTAACAACAATTTCTGTGCCTAAATATGTAATATAAAGAGACAAGGTCTAGAAGTCAAGCTGCTTTCTAATTTTCTGTGAAGACTATAGGTAACTTGATAATATAGGATAACATCAAAATTAACTTTTATAATGATAAATTATGAAATGACAAACTAATAAAAATAGTATTTCCAGTTACTAATTTGAATGTGTTAAAATCCTGGAGTTGTACAGGGTCATTTTGCAGTCTTCGATGTTTTATTCAGGAGGCATGTCCATTTTTCAACTTACAGAGTTTTTACTAGCTATTATATACTATTTATTTTGTGGTATGTACTTTTAGGTAATCATATACACTCTGATTTTTCCAAAGGGAAAAATTTGGAAATGCTATAAACAAATGCCCAAGGAAGAGTTAAATAAATATAAAATATTCATATGATGCAGAGAGCATTCTGCAAGACCCTAGGAAGCTAGAAGCAGAGAATTCTCACCATATGTTTGAGAATTGTGTCAAAATTGGTTCAAGAATCAGGAAAGCATGACGTTTGTAAACATTCCCTTAAGCTAAAGCCAAGAGACTGTAAGCTTAACTTCTATAAAAGGGGAGTGGAGTGACTTAGTAACAATTGGCTTTTTTCTGAACTGTGGCAGCACCAAGCAACTGTGTGTCTCATAATGAAGGAAAAGTGGGCCAGGTGCGGGGGCTCACGCCTGTAATCCCAGCACTTTGGGAGGCCGAGGCAGGCGGATCACAAGGTCAGGAGTTAGAGACCAGCCTGATCAACACGATGAAAACCCATCTCTACTAAAAATACAAAAATTAGCTGAGCATGTTGGTGCGCGCCTATAATCCCAGCTACTCAGGAGGTTGAGGCAAGAGAATCGCTTGAACCTGGGATGCAGAGGTTGCAGTGAGCCGAGATTGCACCATTGCACTCCAGCCTGGGTGACAGAGCGAGACTCCATCTCAAAAAAAAAAAATTAGCCAGGCATGGTGGCAGGCTCCTGTAATTCCAGCTACTAGGGAGGCTGAGACAGAGAACTGCTTGAACCCAGAAGGTGGAGGTTGCAGTGAGCTGAAATTGTGTCACAGCACTCCAGCCTGGGTGACAGAGTGAGACTTGGTCTCAAAAAAAAAAACCTAACCAAAAAAAAAAAACAAAAAACAACAACAAGAAAATGTGATGCATGCACATACACTCCCTCTGCTCCTGTTCTGTATTGCCATCATGCTTTCTTTAAGCATATGTTTGCACTGTTGGAAGGGACTTTCTGTGATAACCGTAATGTTCTGTGTATCTGCATTATCCAAGTTGGTAGCCACTGGTAACTACTGAACAGTTGAAATCACGCTAATTGCAAATGAGGAAAATAATTTTTAATTTTATTTAATTTTAATTTTAACAGTCATTTATGGCTAGTGGCTACTGTATTGAGCAGTACTGCTCTATTTCCTAGTTTAATAAATGAGGGATACGTGGCAGGTTTGTGTGTCTAGTCTTTTTCTATCAATCAGTAACCTTTTAGTCTTTTCCCATCAATCAGTAACCCACTTTGTCAATGTCATTAAATTTCTTTTAGATATATATCTATCGACATAGATAGGCGTTCATGGTATATTTTAAAATAATAAAAAAGCAGGATATAAAGCAGCTTATTTGTATAGCTTTCTTAAAAGATAGCTAATACTTATTGAAAACTTATTGTGTGCCAAGAACTATTCCAAACACTTCACATGTATAAAATCAGTTAACTTTCAGGTAAAATCATCAATCCAACTTTTAACAGAACAATTTTTAAAATAAAGAAACTAAAACACATAGAATTTGAGTAACCTGACCAAAGACCTAAGTGGCTGAGGTAGGGTTTCAATCCCGGTGATCTACTCCATAGACTATTTTACTTATGCCATACTGCCTCTAATTAAATATATTAATCTAATCTATCTTAGAACAAGTTAAATAGTATATGTACTTGTAATAACTTGTGACTAGATATGTTAGTTTTGTCTATTAATTTTTCTGTTAAAAAGAATATGCATTGAAATGAGATGGAAAACAAAATGAAAAGTGTTTAAAAAATTAAATATTTTAGAAGGATCAATATCCTAAGGGTTGTGGGTAATTTTTTCCTACTTTCTAAAACTTCAGATTCCTTTCACTCACTTAAGGTTGTACTACCATTAATGCAATGTTTTCTGGGAGTGCAAGATTTGCAAATGAATTAATAACAGCTAGAAGCCTCACTATTTGCACTTTTATAACATTCTTTGCTGTTATCATTACAAGGTAAAATTATATAGTAATAGGTGGAAAAAGTTATCAAAAATTAGTGAAAACCACATGGGATTCATATGGAAATGAGAAGACCTGAAATAATCAAAATAACTTTGAAAAAGAACAAGTTGGAAGACTTAACCAGATTTCAAAACTTAACATATAGTTATAAAATCATGAGTATGGTATTAGCATAAAGATAAATATATAAATTGATGCAAAGAAACAGAATCCAAAAATAAACCCACACATATACAGTCAATTTGTTTTCAATAGAGGTGTCAAGTCAATTTGATGCTGGAAGTTCAAAAGACACTGTTACAAACGTCAAAAGGCAAACCTACTAGTTGGAAGGAAATGCTTGCAAAACACGTATCCAACAAAGAGCTTGTATTCAGTCATACATCTTACAGCTCAATTGCAAGACAAACTACCCACTTGAAATATTTTAGACAGGGCAAAAGACTTGAATACACACAACACCAAAGAAAACATATAGTTGCAAAAAAAAAAAACATAAAAAGATGCTCAACATCATTAGTCATTGGGGAAATACAAATGAAAATAACCAGATGATACTACACACCAACTAGAATAACTAAAATTACAAAGAGTACTCATACAAGTTTTGAAGAAGATATGGAGAAACTGGAACTTTCAATACTTGGCTGGTGGAGGGTATTGCTGCTTTGGAATACAGTTCGGTAGTTTCTCAAAAAAACATCTACTGTATGTCAGGCAATTCCACTCCTAGGTATTTATCCCAAAATGAATGCATGCGTCCATACAAATACTTGTACATGAATGTTCACAGCAGATTTGTAACAGTCAAAAACTAGAAGCAAGCCATATGTCTGTGAAAATTAAAGGGATAAACAATCCATGGTATAACCAAGCAACTTGATATACTTAGCAGTACCAAAAAAATGAACTATTAATACATGCAACAACATGGATAAATATCAACATAATAATGTAAGTGAAAGAAGCCAGATAAAAATGTATACGCTGTGTGACTCCACATATATAAAATTTTAAAAATGTAAACAAATCTGTAGTCACATTAAGCATTTCAATGGGTGTTTGAGGACAGCAGGAGGAAGAGAGAGGGATGAATTATTTTGATTGTGATGATGGTTCCATAGGTATACACATGTCAAAACTCATCAAATTGTATTTTTAAAATGTATATTTTGTGCACATTAGTTATACCTCAATAAAGCTGATATAAAATGTTTAAAGATCAACCAGTATACCTGCATTAAATGTATCATGTAGTATCTAGTGCTTTCCTTAGAATATAATTGATTACTATTTTCTTTTCTAATAAGAAAAGTCTGAAATTTAGGAATGAATAAATAGCTTTTATCCTCTTATTTAGAAAAAGGATAAAATTTAAAATAAGAGCCTTCTTTTAAATCAACTCTTCAAAAGGTTTTCTTCTAGGATCAATTCTATAGATTACTGTTCTGCCAAATGGGTAAGTCAAAGAGAAGTCAACTTACTTCCAAGTAAGTACCACTCATGTTTACTGTATTGCCATTTCTAAACAGGGAAGAAAATAATCTACTTTTTCTTTTGTCTTTGAATTGTAAGAGCCAGGCCTAGTTTGAACAGTCAATGTAGCACAATCATCAAGTCAATACTTTGGGGCTATGTTTCATGAAGTATAGTAAGTTAGGGGGAGAAATTAAAAAAAAAATGAGGAAGCAGAAAGGAACTAATACTTGTTGAAAGCGAATTATGTACCAACCGTTATCCTCAAATTGTTTTCTATACATTGTATTAAATAATAACAGTAAAACAAGATACTGTTTTTGAATATTTTAGTCTTCTATAACTTGATGAAACAAAGCACTATCCAGTGAAAATGTTTTTAAGGTAAATTGGAAAGACTAGAGAGCACAGATATTATTCTTTCAGACTGTTAGTTTTGGAGTTGGAGTTCTGGGCCTGCCTCAGACACAGTTGAATCACCTCAAAAAGCACCACATCTTTCACACAATGTATTCGCCTGCTCAATATTCCTTTAAAATATATGAAATACTTTACAATATATAAATTAAATAATAATGAGAACTGAAGTATTATATTTGAAAATAATCTTAATCTTATTTTTTAGACATAGCAGATCCAAGATTAGTCTGCATTCAGTTGTGCTTTCATGACTGGAGAAAAAGAAGAGTTCTACCTGGAGCGCCAAGAAGTGGATAACCCATAGACCATTCAATGAGTAAGTCTAGAGGAGTGCATTGTACACATGCCTATCATCCATCAGCAGAAAAGACAAAGAACACTTTAAGGGGACCAGACCCAAGGAATCTCTGGGCTTAAAGAAATTTAAGCCTATGCCGATGGCTAAAACAGAAGACATCTGTGGTAATGTGACTGATAAATATGAATGTGAGGAAATTTCCTTTTCCTGAAGTTCATGAAGAATCAACTTTAATACTAAAAGGGAACTATTTGTTCTCCTCCATATCAACTTAGTTTTTGAGATATTCTTTTTGCCTCTTCCCCGTCAAACAGTGTTCAATTTGCTGTAGGTGAGTGAACGAAAAACGTTATTCTTAATAAGTAAGTCATCAGAAGTACACAGTTAACTTGGTATATCTAAGATAGGAATACTCTGCAGCTATCAAATGTCACATAATATGAACTAGTATTTAATAATATGCAAAAATATTCCCTGGAAAAGAATTTAACAAAACAATATACAATCAACTTTCATTTTTAAATATTTTACTAGGAAATTGATTAAAAGGGTATATACTAAACATCTCTGTAATCTGCATTTTTAAACTTTTCTACAATGAGAATATTATCCTTTTAGAATCAGAAAAAATTGTGGGGTATGGAAATACTGAAAATAAAAGTCACTTTTAATTTGAATTGATTTTTAAAAGTGCTACAAAGCCACAGTTAGAAATGTAAAACTATGCAACAACATACCTTGAAAATGACCTTTAGGATTCAAAATGGTTTAAAATATATGATCTAAAATAATATTTATCATAAAGAGGAATGCCCTCTAATGTTCCGTTGACTGCAATTATCTAAGAACAATAGGTAGTAAATATGTCTATGTATTCAACCAAGGTTAAAATCAATGATGAATCCAAGCACAACTAATTTCCTTTAGAAAACTATTTATGAGTATAATGGCACAAAGCTCTGAAAAATAAGATTACATATATTTCTAGTACTGATATATAGAAATAAATTTTATATAAAATTATGTCAAATAATTTTACATATAAAATTAATATTTAATGTGTAAAATATAAATTCAAAATATAAATTCAAGAGAAACTAGGAAGTTACAGAAAATACAGCTCTCTACAATTCCTTTAATTAACCAGCTCAAAACTTGTATTTTAGGTTTACAGCAAATTTGCGGTTCTATTGCAGTGTTTGTGAGACAAGAGCCTTTTTGACAAAAACTGCCTGGAAAATTGACCAAAATAACTGCCCCCAAACAATAGAAAACTTGCTTCAGATCAAGAACTACTTGAAACTAAAAAAAATTGCCCCAAACTATCAAGCTTTCAGGATTCCAGGATCTCTGTACTTGCTTATTCATGTGACATCACAAGTGAAACTTGAACTTTTAGACATTTAATAAAATAACCTTAAAAATTTCAAAGGTATATGATGAGAACAAATAGACAATATCAGAAAATATCACAGATACTAATGAGTATGGAGAATGCCCTTATGTTTTTGTGGATGCCTTAGGAGAAGAAATCTGATGTGTCTGAATTATGAAGTTCCTGCTCTATCAATAAAGTTTAATTTTTAGAGGAACTGATTGTTTAAAGAGTGAATTATGTCTGCCAAGACAATATAGTTTTCCTGGAACTGTCATGGAATTTCTAGCTACATACCAACATTTGTGAAAAACACAAGCTGTATCATAAGACTCATGAAATGCATTTACCCCAGCATCCTTAAAAACCATTCCTGTATAAGATTCTCACTAACCAGATCTACATCTCCTTATAACTACATAGTTTTTAAAGAATATAGCTTATGAAACCTTTTCATCTGCATCTGTGGCACTGAATACCTAGCAATATATACTTCACCATTCTTTTATAAAACATTAGATGCTTAACAAACAAAAGCAAACAAAGTGCCAGCATGCCACAGGTAAAATCTGTAGTACAGATTTTAGTAGGTAAAACCTGTACTAATGCTGGTGACCACTCAAGTGTGTAGAAATGTCAGTGGATATCAAAGTCACTCCAGAATTGTAATTCCCAAATCAAAGTACCCTTTCCTCTGATGGTCACCTTGGGGCAGGGTTTCTTCACTTTACAGCAATGAATCACTACAACATACTGTGAGGAATTTTACATATTTGTGCTTATTTGCTCCCCTAATTCAAACTCTAGTGGGAGGGAAGTACCACTACTTATCAGATTTTCACTGGCTCATAATCCAGATAAATTGAATAGCCCTTAGACTATTCCCTCATGCTTGCATAAATCTAGATTTACTATATCAAATTCTTCCTCAAGGTAGTTAGACTCAATCACTCAATTCATATGGCTGAGAAATATTTCTGACCCAAGTTTCTTATACAAACTAAAATGTTATGTTACACTAATATATCTTTAGCATTAATGCTAGTTATAGAAAATTAAATTAAATTTCTATCATAAATTTATTTCAAGTCTTTGGAAAAAACACAGTCATACTACTTCCTACCTCACACCTAAACCTTATTCTATAGGAGTTCCTTCCCCAGGGTTCTTGAATTTCTGACAAATACGGTCATAAATAAGGAAAGACATCCCAGACCCCTACCACAGCTTACAAAAGTAACCAGAGGCAGTGCTATGCTTCTGGCTTCCCAGTGTGTGAATATAAATGCATTTTCCTATAGACACGTTACCATGCAGGTCCATAATTGTACATCCAATAAAAAAAAAACACTCCAAAAGACAAATTATTTTTTATGCTTGATATAAACACCAAAAAGTTTTGCTGTAAAAACATTAATGTGTTTGATTATAGGGAGCTGCTCAAGACCGCATTGTAAACATTTGTCCATTTACTGCTAACGCCAAGTTGCAGGGTTTCAGCTTACCTGCTCATTTATATGGTCACACACTACCACGGAAAGCAAAGGCTGCCTATAATTTAACAGTTAAGAACCTTAGCAAGTGTGCTAAAGTCCTCAATACTAAACATCTGGCCATGAGGAAATATGCCATATTACTAACTCCCTAAAAGAGAAGGAAACACAAACTACCCTTGTACTTTATACAGGTCTATAGATTCCTAAACATCAGACCCATGTTTTTAAAAAAGGTCCATAAAATTTACCATAGCATCTATTGGAGAGATGTTTTTGAGAATTTCTTTCATTATATTACTGATTGTTCTTTTTTATAGGAGTCCTTGGGAAATGTTTCTGCCTCTTACCCTTAAGAACAGCTGTGCTTTTCCAGATCAAATGGTCACTGTGATTTATAAACCTGTTTAGTTTTCCTGGATTTTATTACCTGCATTATTGCATCAGTATTATTCTCAGTTTCTCTTTTTAATCCAACTCATATTTTCCTTCTCCTTTCTTACCAACCTGAAGTTTATATTATCTTGCTGGTTTGTGTTTATTTTTTTAAACATCTCCATGTAAAAGAGATTAAATCATTTATGAAACAGGAGGGCAAAGCTAATGAGATTCAGGAAATGCTAATCTCTAAGTACAGCACATTTAAAGCACATTTAAACAGTTAGACTAGAAATTATATATGGAAACCCAAATAAAGTGGCATTACATTTCCAACTTACTCTAGAAATGTTTCCAGAATCCTTTTGAAGTAGTTTGCCCATCTAATTCAGTTTGTTAATACCTTCAGCCATCTTTTCCTACTCAACATGTTTAAAACCAAACTCACTATTTAAGAAGTTACTTTGTCATCCTATGTGCTCAGATTCAAAACTGCCTGCTAGGAAAGTTATTTTGGTATATGACATCTGTTTATCCTCCAACCTTTTAGAATGATGTCCAGAACATTAAATGGGCTAAATTCTATTTTCATGAGCCAATCAAAATTTATGCCCCCCAAAACCACTGTATATATTTTGATCAAATTATAAGAACTCTGCAACAGACAGTTCAATACTGTACATAAGAAGTCTTAATAAAAAAGTTGTTTCATTCATAATCCAGATCTCTGGTTTAAAATTAAATGGAATGTCTCTCAAATGTAGAAAAATATGAGAGTAAGTATGAAAAAAGGAGAGTAAATGATTTGATAAACCCAAAATAAGAAATATAATTATTAAACTATTTATCTGCTTATTTTCCTTCTGTATAGTATAATTCTGTGCAGAGATAATTCTGAAGTAAATAGGCCCCTTTCAGAGCACAGACATGAAGGGATTTCTAAAGCCAGGAGCAGGGCCAAATTATATGGCTCTAACCTGATTCTTATAAGCACCACACTCTTACCAATCAAAAACTTTGAAGATCATAGCTTATTGAAATTTCGCATTAATATACATCAAAATCCTAAGTAACGTGAACAAAATAAAGTTAATGATGTTTATATTTCATGTAAATTGAAATTAGAGAAAGAAAAGGTAACAATTCTAATTAATATTTTAAATTTGACCAAGATCATTGGCAAGTAGTTTTTTGCTAAAATATTCAATAGCAAAACAAAACAAAACATTTATTTTTGACAATAGAATGGCTATCAGCTATCCTAAAATATCACCATTAAAATTAAAGTGATATTTATACTTTAGCATCCAATGAAAAAAACTAAAGTGACATGATAAGGAGGAAGGTTGTATTAATGTCATCAGTAAAGGGCATGAAAAAATGGACAAATCAAACAGGTGCCCTTTTTTTTTTTAAAAAAAAAAACAGTCTTGCTATTAATATGTTGCCTAAGCTGGAGTGCAGTGGCTAATCACAGATACAATTATAGTGCACTATAGCCTGAAATTCCCGGGCTTAAGTGATCCTCCTGCCTTAGCCACTCGAGTAGTTGGTACTGCAGGCTCTTGCCACTGCGTCCTGCAAAATGTCTTCTATCTAGAGGAGAAAATTAGAGTAGTGGCAGTGATCAAAGAATGTGCTGACATTTTGAAACAAGCAATCTTATCTGTAATATGGAGGACAGTATATGCTAAGAGACAACTGTTTTTGTTATATTATTTGGGCAAAAAGAAACACTGCATAAAGAACCATAATCATTAGGCCTAAGGTAACAGGCTGAACATAAAATCAATTTGCTTTACTAATTTCAAAATATTTAATATTAATTACTAATATGGTCACTATATGACACTGCAATTTCTTAGTGTTTTACAGAAGACCTAAAGAGTTCATCATCAATTTTAAACCATGACTAAATTCAAATTCCTACTATTTAACTATTCAATAATTGTGCTGAAAATGCACAGCCTTTTTATATTTAATGTATTTTAGCAATTTGTTTTAAGAAAACATTTTGCAGGCTACTACTAACAATGGATACAATTTTATTAAATATCAATTGCAACATTATAAAGCAAAAAAAGTATAATTAGTCATAAAATATAACAAGAAATTATAAGTGTTGACAAAAAAGTTTGGTTTAAAACAAATGTACTTTAACATAATCTGGTTTGTTGAAGACCAAATGCTTTAAAGGAAATGCCAATGCAACATAAAACATTGACCTGGTGTTGATTTCTTTTAATTTTTAATTTTGGTGGGTACACAGTAGGTATTTATGAGGTACATGAGATGTTTTGATACAGGCAAGCAATGAATAATAATCATATCAAGAAGAATGGGTTATCCATCCCCTCAACTGTTTGTTACAAACAATCCAATTATACTTTTACTTATTTTAAAATGTACAATTAAATTATTATTGACTAAAGTCAACCTGTTGTACTACCAAATAGTAGGTCTTATTCATTGTACCCTTTAACATCGCCACCTCCCCATACCCACCCTACTACCCTTACCATACTCTAGTAACTATTGTACTACTCTTCAATTTCAATGATTTTCAATTCAATTGTTTTGAGTTTTAGATCAGTTGTTTTGATTTTTAGATCTGATATGGTATGGCTGTGTCACCACCCAAATCTTATCTTGAATTGTAGCTCTCATAATCCCCATGTATTGTGTGAGGGACCCAGTGGGAGGTAACTGAATCATGGAAGTGGATTTTTCCCATGCTGTTCTCATAATAGTGAATAAGTCTCACGAGATTTGATGGTTTTATAAAGGGTGGTTCCTCTGCATGCACTCTCTTGCCTGCTGCCATGTAAGACATGTCTTTGCTCCTCCTTCATCTTCCATCGTGACTGTGAGGCCTCCACAGCCATGTGAAACTGTCAGTCCCTTAAACCTCTTTTTCTTTATAAATTACCCAGTCTCGGGTATTTCTTCATAGCAGTATGAAAATGGACTAATACGAGATCCCGCAAATAAGTGAGAACATGTGATGTCTGCCTTTCTGCACCTGGGTTTCTTAAAACTCTCAAAAGTAGAATTAACTCTTTCTCACTGGAACACTCTTTTGCTAATTCAGTAAAAATGTTCTGGAACAGCATTTCTCAAAGCAAGTTCTATTAATAATTGTTCTATGAAAGAATGGATCTGTGTTCAAGTAAGTTTGGAAAATGCTAAGTTTATAATGTTAAATAAATTAACCTTCCTGCAAAGCACTGTAATCTCTATTATATATATATTTTCCCCCAATGTGCTTCCTCTTTTTTTTTTCTTTTTTTGAGATGAGGTATTGCTCTATAAACCCAGGCTGTAGTGCAGTGGCACCACCACGCTCACTGTAACCCCAACCTCTAGGGCTCAAGTGATCCTCCCACCTCAGCCTCCTGAGCAGCTGCACCCCCAGCTAATTTTGTTTATTGTCTTTATTATATTGACATGAATTAGGAATCACTCTTAAAGATCAGACTACATGACCATCTGAGTATAGAATTATGTCATTCATTCAGCAGCTCCCCAAAATATTGTTCTGCTACACACACACACACAAACACACACTGGGCCAACCTGTTCTAGAGTATAATAAAAGTTTAAATTTCAAATATTTCTATTATTTTCATTTTCACTCACAAAGTAAGAATACAGACAAAACAAAGACCTCCCAGAATCATAAAATTAAATAAGCTTTTGGTTTTATCAAAAAGCTAACTACTGGACAAACTACATGTATCAAGATACTTTACATGGTATACTTCACAATATTAAAATTCAAATTTACTTTGAAAAGAACTTCCAAACTCTATAGAAGTAACAAACCTTTTTTGTAAAAAAATAGTAAACTTTTTTTAGTTATGCATCTACATGGAAAAATATCAAAAAATATATATTTATGTTAACAGATATCATTAGGAGATTTTTAAGATTCATATATGTAAAAATCTTATTGTTGGAATACAATACAAAAGTAATTTATCAAGAATTTTTCTATTAGGTCTGGAACTGCTATTAAACAAAAAACCACTAGTGATTTAAAATTGGTTTGAGTGAATGTTTATTTTCACTTGGCCAAAATTTTGTTATGACAAATGGTATTTCCAAATAATTAAAAAAAAAAACTTCTTTGTACGACAAGTTAAAAATACAGGTAGAATACTTTTGTGCTTCTGAACTTTCTAGTACTTCTACATTTCTTTTATCAATTTTCTTCCTTAGAGGTAATGTATGTTTCTCTATTTTCAACTTTTAATTTAATTTAATTTAATTTAACTTAAGTAATTCAGTAAAAGCTTGCAAGTGCGAGACTTATGAGAAAAAATAAACTTTCTTAATAATCTTTGACATACGTCTTAATCACTATTCTGTGATTATTTTGTCTGTTGTTCATTAGCATTAGAATAATAAAATTGTAACCTTCACTCAATAAAGTCAACTGGGCTTATGGAAACTCCCTTCTCTCAGTTCAAAAGTATAAAAAGATGAGAAAATATTTAAAATAGTAACGTTATACATGTATATACACTAAGGGAATTGAATGATGAAAATATCTGATTCTAAGGCTGGGCTTCTCTCAAAGTTTTGGGGTCAAACTGCTTTAATTTGCAGATTATATCATTGCCTACACAGAAAGTCAAAGAGAATTTACAGATAATCTATAACTATTAGTAAGAATACTTAGCAGGGTTGTGGGATATAATATGAATAAAACCAAGTGTTCTTATACTCCAACAACAGCCATTATGAAATATAAAATTTTTTTTTAAAAATAGTGACAAATAATACAAGATATCTGGAAATTAATCTTTTAAAATGTACAAGACCTATGACGAAATACATTTTTGAAGAGCTTTAAAAGAGACTTAAAAACTGGAAAATATGCAATGCTCACAGATGGAGAGACATAATAAAGGTGTTAACTTTGTTCAAAGTATTGCAGAAACATACTTCTAATAAAAACCCAAACAGATCTTTTGATGTAATGAAAGAGTCCAATTTCAAAATTAAAATGTTCAGTAAGTAGCTATGGCTATTCTAATACATGAGAATAAAATAATGAGGCTGAATTTGCTTTATAATCAAGACTTATACTAAAATGATAGTAATTAAAACAGTGTAGTCCTCAAGGAGGGCCAGATACAGATATACACACACAAACACACACACACACACCACCAACAACAACAACAAACACAGCTCAGTAATAGCCACAAGACAACACTAGAATTGAGAATATGGCAAAGATAATATTATAATTCACTAGAAAAGGCTAGAGAGATGATGACAAAATGGCTTTCTTTAGGTAAAGAAATAAAATAATAACCCTGCTCTTACCAAAGTAACAATAAAAATCCAGAGAGACTTAAGACTTAAATCTAAAAAATAAAACTTTAAATCATTCAGAAGAAAAATGTGGAAGAACTTCATACACTTGGGATAAACTGGGATTTTCAAAAAAGCACAATGAACAAAAAAGGCACAAACCACAGAAGAAGTTTATAAATTTGACTATCTTATAATTTTAAGTCTATATGGCTGAACAAGATATTGTAGAAATCTTTCATCTTATTCTTGCTTATTACACCTAATAACCCTAGACAAAATGCATGAAACAGACATCAGAAGATTCTGAAAAGTGAAAAAAGAAGTAGGACTGGATAGGGACATCAGGAAAGAGCTGGCAGGGAGTTCCTGGAGTTTCTTTCTGTGTATTCCAGACTGGTGAAGAAGCCCACAACTCAGAAAGTCAATGGGTGCAGAACTAACTCCCCAAACAAACAAAATAAGACTTCTCTTTCTATACAAAGGACTGAGAGGGGGCACCAAAGAGAAACAGAATCTTTTTGACAACACCAGCCAAACACCACAGAGAATGAAAGTGCTCCTCTCCCAACTCACTGTGTGTGAAGACTGGCACTGATGGGTGGGAACATGTGTAAAAAGAGTATCGGCTACCATCCCACCCAGGAGATTTAAATAGGAAGCCCTCTGATATCATAATACTCAAAAAGTCCAGGATGCAACTGAAAATAACATGCCTACCAAGAGCCAGGAAAATATCAACTCAAATGAGACGATACATATAGCAGATGCTAACTCTGAGATGACAAAGATGTTGGAATTATCTGACAAGATTGTTATTTTCACTTTATTTGTATTTTACTTTAAGTTCAGGGATACATGTGCAGAGTGTGCAGGTTTGTTACACAGGTATATGTGTGCCACGGTGGTTTCCTGCACCTATTGACCCATCCTCTAAGTTCCCTCCCCTCACCCCCCAAACCCCAATAGGTCCTGGTGTGTGTTGTTCCCCTCCCTGTGTCCATGTGTTCTCCCTGTGTCCATGTGTTCTCATTGTTCAATTCCCACTTCTGAGTGACAACATGCAGTGTTTGGTTTTCTGTTCCTGTATTAGTCTGCTGAGGATGATGGTTTCCAGCTTCATCCATGTCCCTGCAAAGGACATGATCTCATTCCTTTTTATGGCTGCATAGTATTCCATGGTGTCTATATACCACATTTTCTTTATCCAGTCTACCATTGTTGGCATTTGGGTTGGTTTCCTATCTTTGCTATTGCAAATAGTGCTGCAATAAAGATGCGTGTGTATGTGTCTTTATAGTAGAATGATTTCTATTCCTTTGGGTACTGAGTATACCCAGTATTGAGATTGTTGAGTCAAATGGTATTTCTGGTTTTAGATCCTTGAGGAATCATCATACTGTCTTCCACAATGGCTGAACTAATTTAATTCCCACCAACAGCGTAAAAGCATTCCTATTTCTCCACAGCCTTGCTAGCATCTGTTGTTTCTTGGTTTTTTAATAATTGCCATTCTGACTGATGTGAGATGGTCTCTCACTGTGGTTTTGATTTGCATTTCTCTAATGATCAGTGATTTTGAGCTGTTTTACATATGTTTGTCGTCCACATAAATGTCTTCTTTTGAGAAGTGTCTGTTCATATCCTTTGCCCACTTTTTGATGGGGTTGTTTTCTTCTTGTAAATATGTTTAAGTTCCTTGTAGATTCTGGATATTAGACCTTTGTCAGATGGGTAGATTGCAAAAATTTTCTCCCATTCTGTAGGTTGCCTGTTTACTCTGATGATAGTTTCTTCTGCTGTGCAGAAGCTCTTTAGTTTAATTAGATCCCATTTGTCAATTTTGGCTTTTGTTGCAATTGCTTTTGGCATTTTCATCATGAAGTCTTTGCCCATGCCTATGTCCTGAATGGTAATGTCTAGGTTTTCTTCTAGAGTTTTTATGGTTTTGGGTTTTAAATTCAAATATTTAATTCATCTTGAGTTAATTTTTGTATAAGGTATACAGAAGGGGTCCAGTTTGAGTTTTCTGCATATGGCTAGCCAGTTTTCCCAGCACCATTTATTGAATAGGAGATCCTTTCCCTATTGTTTGTTTTTGTCAGCTTTATCAGATGGTTGTAAATGTGTGGTGTTATTTCTTGTAGTATAGTTTGAAGTCAGGTAGCATGATGCCTCCAGCTTTGTTCTTTTTGCTTAGGATTGTCTTGGCTATCCAGGGTCTTCTTTGATTCCATATGAAACTTAAAGTAGCTTTTTCTAATTCTGTGAAGAATGCCAATGGTAGACTGATAGGAATAGCATTGAATCTATAAATTACTTTGGGCAGGATGGCCATTTTCACAATATTGATTCTTCCTATCCATGGGGATGGAATGTTTTTCCATTTGTTTGTGTCCTCTCTTATTTCCTTGAGCAGTGGTTTGTAGTTCTCCTTGAAGAGGTCCTTCACATCGCTTGTTAGCTGTATTCCTAGGTATTTTATTTTCTTTGTAGAAATTGTGAGAGTTCATTCATGACTTGGCTTTCTGCTTGTCTATTGTTGGTGTAAAGGAATGCTTGTGATCTTTGCACACTAATTTTTGTATCCTGAGACTTTGCCCAAGTTGCTTATTAGTTTAAGGAGTTTTGGGGCTGAGCTGATAGTGTTTTCTAAATATAAAATCATGTTGTCTGCAAAAAGAGACAATTTGACTTCCTCTCTTTCTATTTGAATACCAATTTCTTTCTCTTGCCTGATTGCCCTGGCCAGAACTTCCAATACTATATTTAACAGGAGTGGTGAGAGAGGGCATCCTTGTCTTGTACTGGTTTTCAAAGGGAATGCTTCCAACTTTTGCCCATTCAATATGATATTCGCTGTGGGACTGTGATAAATAGTTCTTATTATTCTGAGATATGTTCCACTGATCCCTAGTTTATTGAGAGTTTTTAACATGAAGGGATGTTGAATTTTAGCAAAGGCCTTTTCTGCATCTATTGAGATAATCGTGTGGTTTATGGATTACATTTATTGATTTGCATGTGTTGAACAAGCCTTGCATCCCAGGGATGAAGCCAACTTGATCGTTGTGGATAAGTTTTTTGATGTGCTGCTGGATTTGGTTCTGACAAGACTTTTAAAGTAATTATCATAAAAATCCTTCAAGGAGCAATTTCAAACACCCTTGAAACAAATTAAAAAATAGAAATGTCTCAGCAAGGAAATAGAAGATAGTTTTAAAGCCTAATAGAAAGTTCAGAACTGACAAGCATAATAACCTAAGTTAAAAACTAATTGGAAGAGCTCAACCACAGAATGTAGACAGCAAAATAAAGAATCAGTGGCGTCAAACATAGACCAAAAAAATCATCCAGACAGAACAGCAGAGCGAGAACAGATTGGAAAATAAAACAAAACAAAATATCTAGATCTCATTGTCCTGTGGGATAATAACAAAAGATCTATTCCCATCAGCAAAATCCAAAAAGTAAAGGAGAAAACATGACGGGTTGAAGAAATAAAGGCTGGAAACTTCCCAAATTTGACAAAGGACATAAACCTGCAGATTCAAGAAGCTGAGCAAACACTCAACAGGATGAACTTAAAAGAAATTTACATCTAGGCAGCTCATAATAAAACTGTTGGAAACTAAAGATAAAGAAAGAATCTTGAATCTTTAAAGAAGCCCAAGAGAAACAACATATTAACTATAAGAGAACAATAATTTGAATGGAGTGAATTTCTCTTCAGAAACCACAGAGGTCAGAAGAAAACTGGCATACTTTTTAAGGGCTGAAAGAAAAGAAGGCCTGGCATGGTAGCTGATATCTATAATCCTAGCACTTTAGGAGGCCGAGGCAAGAGGACTACTTGAGCCAGGAGTTTGGGAATAGCCTGGGCAACATGGCAATACCTCATTGCTACAAAAAATAACGATTACCGGGATGTGGTGGCATGCGCCTGTAATCTCTGCTATTCAGGAGGCTGAGAGGAGAGGATCGCTTGAGCTCAGAAGGCTGAGGCTGCAGTGGGCCATTACTGTGCCACTGTAGTCCAGCCTTGGTGACAGAGTGAGACCTTTTCTCTAAAAAATAAAAATATAAAAAACGAAGAATAGAACTGACAACCTACGAATCTATTTCCAGCAAAAATGTCCTTCAGGAATGGAAGTGAAATAAAGACATTCTCAGATTTTATGCAGAAAGGCAGCAACTGCCAGTAAGAATTGGAGTTTGGAGATTATTGGCCCAAGGGTATAATCCAACATGCATGACTATGGCTGCACAAAAAGAGGAGAGAAAACTACAGCTTCATTGGTGAAAGGTGCCCAAAATCAGAGCTCAGAGCTGGGACTCAGAGCTAGTAAAGTAGCTTGAAATTTAAAGCGAAAAGCCCAATGCCAGGCAGAGAACTAAACAGTACATTTATGGGACTTAAGCATATAATTTATAGATATACAGATAAAACTGCATATACAATATCTGCCCCTATCTCCAACTACCCTTTATTCCCACCCTTATCCCATATATTGAAATAATCAATAGACTACATACCATAGGAAAAATCCCCTTGAAAGAAGAGTAGATCAGAGCAGTGTGACATCGAACACTGCCTGTGATCTGAGCTCATGTGTATACACAACACCCACACCCTGTCAACCACAATTGCTGGAGCTTTGATCTAGCAGAGTAATACAAAGAAAATTCAGATTTGCCTTTGCAATTGCTTGGGCCTAAGAGATCTGAACAGAATTTCCCTCTATCCTCAAGCAAAAAATAAACAAAAACAAAACCTGAAATAACCTATCTCAACTCCCAAAGGTACACAGGTAAACGCCTCCCCCTACGAGGATGAGCAAACAAATATAAAAGAAGAGAACAATTCAGAACTCAGAGCAAATGCTTTGCTTTAACACAGTTACTGCCAGGACAGGAGAAATCTCTAACCAGTGTTTTCACTGATGTTCAAAGGAACACTGCTCAATGGAACCACTGAAAAGTACAGTGAACATTGTAAAATAGTAACTCTTCATCAAGGATACATTTAGAGGGAGAAGTTTGAAACCAATGGTAGATATAGAGTAATGGAAAATAAGGTTGGAAAAGTAGATAAGTGTTTTAACCAATGACAAATTTATGGTGTTTTTCAAAGTTGCACAAAATTGCTTTTTAGCTGTACACCAAAAAGGTATTTGTTGTCTATACTGTTTCTCCTAACAGTAAATCTTATAATTATATAATTCTGTCTTGTAAAAGGAAATTTTATATTCAAACCTCAATAAAATCATAACTGCTGCTATACCTGAAGGTCCCTAGTGAACCACAAAATACATCACATCTCATATTATACTTAATTTATACAAGATTCTTAACAAGCTAGGTAGTTGGACTTAATTCAATAAGCAATAAAGAACCAATGAAAGTTTATGAGCAAGAGAGTAATATGATCAGAATGGCATGGCAGAAAATTTGCAAATGAGATTAATTTGCCTTCCTATATTTAAAAAAAGATTAACAATACGGAGAAAGTTAGAAAAAATCACAAGGCAAATTTAAGATTATATTTGATTTAATCAATGCTGATTATTGGGAAACTTATTTACCAAAAATATATAACATGAATAATTAAGAAGCTTTAAGAAAATTACAAAATGAAAGTGAGGAAAGCAAGAAATTCAAACTCCACAAAAAAAGTTGAATATGTATGTACTCCCACATTCTTTACATAATTCTCTGCTTTGCTTTCTCTATAGCCTAATCTCAAAGGCAGTGACAGCAGAACAGGTTTTAATCTGTAAGAATCTGTGAGAAGGGTAGAAGAACAGGGTAAAAAGATTAGAAACTATATAGTTTCAGTTCTACAAAAATTATCACCTGCAGAATTAGAGCAAGCACAAAAGGTTCAATTAATAAACTATTTCTGAGGCAAAGCACATAGTCCCTGCCCTTACACAGTCAAAAATTACTGACGAAGGATACAGAGTCTAGCAAAGTGCAAAAATGGGCAAATGGGTAAGAAATAGATGTTCATAAACCTTTTGAAAATACATAAATCTGTAGGAGATCGGTCAGGGTGGTGGGAAAAGTTAACAGGGAAAGGCTCAAAACTTCTTGGAAGGCAGGAGGTTTTGCAAAGCTTCGGGAGAGAATAAAAGCTGAAGGCGGCTAATTCTCTTACCCTGAAGCAGAGGGCAAAGGGTAGACAACAAGGGAATGTAAGGGAACCTTAGATCTAGATAAAATGGTTTACTTATGTCTCTGGAAACCAATCTTTGATCATGTGTACACAGGACTGCTATCTACTTGGGTGGTCCACAATGTTAATTACCCACAAATTGTGTTTGCTTCAAGCCTTTGTCATTAAATCTGTACTAAATAAATGCAAATGTCCCCCGCTTATTGGGGCTGCACTCTCATTGGCAGGGCTGCACTCTCATCAGTGATGCTAAGCCGTGCAGTCCCCTAGCCATGGTCTCAGGCAAAATACCTGTGTCTGCATACTTCTTACATCCATTGCTTGGCCAGAGTCTGCAGGACAGACTAGGCATAAGTCTAAGTAGATTTTTTTGGTTTTACTTTCTGCTCCTGTAAAATGGAGGTACTACCCAGTAGGGTTCTTGTGAAGACTCAGGGAAGTTGCACATATGCATTTAGCATAGTGACTAACTCATAAATTGAATTTAAATGTTATCTCCCTTGTCTTTCCACAAACATTCTTGCATTAGCATCAGTAACATAGTTGGATATAGGACAAGAGCAATCAAAATTTTACTTGAGAGTGATTCAGGTTTTTAACACTACATCAGGTCCAAAAGCACAGACTTTGTGCACTAGGTATTATTTTATGAATATAAATGAATGGTGCTACGGGATTCAGGGAAGAAGTAAATACAGAATTTGAACTGGGTTTTAAAGAATGGGCAAGATTTGGACAAATGTCAATAGATAAAGGAAGATACTAAGAAAAAGGAGAAAACACATGAGGAAACTTACTAAAAAGCAATGTTCATTTAAGAAAATATTATTTGAGCAATGCTATTTTAGAAAAAGCAAAAATGGCCTGACTATAGTTTATATTGAGAAGCATCTGGGAGATAAGGTTGAAAACCAGGCTGGATGTAGACAATAAAAAGAATCTGATGTCATATATAAGGCACTTTCACCTATCATAGTAGTTTTCAAATTGTTTTGGCTTTGGGACTCCTTTGTAATCTTTAAAATTATTCAGGTCACAAAGAACTTTGTCTTTTTGAATTAAATCTATCAATATTTCTATTTATTTATTTATTATTTATTGAGATGGAGTCTCACTCTGTCACCCAGTCCTCCCTACTTCATGACCTAATCTAAGTCCAATTATCTCCCAAAGGCCTCACCTCCAACTACAATTACTTGTGGACTAGGGCTTCAACATATAAATTGTGTTTGGGGGGTCGGGGAGATGATATGTAAACATTCAGCCCATATGTGTGACCTTATTTGAAAAAAGGATCTTTGCAGATGTAATTAAGGAAAGGTTGTTAAGATGAGATCATCCTGACTATGGTGGGCCCTAAATCCAATGACTAGTATCCTTAAAAAAGGGGAGTAGGGGAAAAGATAAGCGGGCGAAAAGGTCACATAGATGGAAGCAGAGCTTGGAGTGATGAATCTACAAACCAAAGAATGCCAAAAATTTCCAGCAGCCACCAGAAACTAGGAGGCATAGAACAGATACTGTCTCAAAGCCTCCAGAAGGAAACAACTCGGCTGACACCTTGATTTCAGACTTCTAAACTCCAGTACTGTGAGAGAATTAAGACAGTTGTTTTAAGCCACTGTAGACCAATGATAAAATTCTAAGCCCCCCAACCATCTGAATGGACCCCTCCTCTTACAAAGGCATTCCAAAGATAACCTGAAAAACTAGTTCAGGCCATGATGGGAAGTAAGAGCAGGACATGCCTCATTATACTCTCCTTCCTTTTGGAATTACTGATAGAACAGACTTTTTTAAGTCTGATAAGAAACATTTACAAACTATTCTCACTGAATAGATCAGCTTCATCGGCATGATAAAACCTTGGTCTCCACATTCCTTTCTTTAGATAATAACTCAACCAACCGCCAATCAGAAAATCTATACATCTACCTGTGTCCTGGAAGCCCCCACTTCAAATTGTCCTGCCTTTCCAGACCAAACAAATGTATATCTTACATGTATTGATAGATGTCTCACGTTTCCCTAAAATGTATAAAGCCAAGCTGTACCCCAATCACATTGAGCACATGTCATCAGGATCTCCTGAGGTTGTCACTGCTGCATCCTTAACCTTGGCAAAATAAACTTTCAAAATTGATTGAGACCTGTCTCAGATACTTTTGGTCTATACCACCAAGCTTATGGTATTTTGCTATGGGGGCCCTAGGAAATTAATTCACACCCCAATCACATTTTAAATCAACGTCTGCCCATTGTTTAAAAAGTTCTATTATCTATTTTCCATCAAACTATGAATTTTTCCATTAATATCTGGTCATCCACTATTTTATTTTTTTAAAAACACAATGAACTTCACCTTACTTATATATTGCTTTCAATACTAATCATCTAGTTGAAACCTAAATATTTTTTCTTACTTAGTCATAAGATTTTTGAAGACAGAAACTGTGTCTTAAGTGTCTTTATTGTCAGGTATTCATTCATTTCGTCTAATATAGTGCTATATACAGTGCATGATTTAATAATAATAACTTTGCATTTGATGAAATAATGAATGACCAAAAAGCTTATTATATGTTAAGCCATTCTTATGGAATAGTTTGGAATACTAGTGCAATCATTTTAAGATCTATATATGTCCCTCCTCTTAAAATTAAACTCTGGTATTATTTATATCCTCATCCCTACTATTTTAAAAGAATAGCCTTACTGCCCATAGACTTGGAACCTAACCATATTTGAGATGCAGTAAGAATTACAGGAGTTAGAAGGGATACCAGAAAACAAAGAACCAGCAAAAACTCTTTGTAGTACAGAGACAAGATGTGGTTACAAATAAAAGTTCACTATATTATGTTTGTATTATGTATTCTAGTTATTTAAGATATAGTCATTTAATAATTTTCACAATTACCTAAAAAAAGAATGGTATTAAACAAAAAATCTAGGTAAACAACATACCTGAGTTCGTAAAATTTCACTTTTGGACAACTGCATGTCACCAGTCAATTCTTTCACAATGATGCCTAGTGGCTCTAGACGTCTGCTGAAGTAATCTGTCATTTCAGCTGCCAAGGCTTTCATTGGAGCAACATATACAATCTATACCAAAGGAACACTAGCTTGATTAATGAGCAAAAACTACCATGTCATTTGTCTTACAGTAGCCAATACAAGTCACAATTTATTGTGAAATATGTTTCTAACTACTTCCAGTGAAAAATCTTAATAGTGATATATTAAAAGTCTTATCTTTGTGAGATATGTGTGTAGCTGTTTAAAGGACAATAGAATTTGTTTACACAGCTACATCACTTTGAAAATTGTATAGATGTATTTTCATAGCTTCTTACATGGTAATAGAATTTTCATAACACAAATAAGAACTGCCTTAATAGTAATGAAGTAAATCAAACAGTATTACTTATCTGACTTCAAGTACAATATCTTTAAGAACTTTCAAATTTCATGTAATATTAAAACTGCAAATTTATTTTATTCCTTACAATTTAAAAAGCTGTTGTCTGATTTATTTACTTACCTTAAATTCATTCTTTTTGATAACACCTTGTTGAAAATGTTGGCGAATTTCATGCAAGACTGTCAGCATTGCAATGTTGGTTTTTCCAGCTCCTGTAGGGGCACAAATCAGCATGTTCTCATTGGTGTTGTAGGCAGTCTCAAACACTATTGACTGGATTCTATTGAGTCTCTTCATTCCTTTAAAAGCCAGCTGTCCGATCTAAAAAAAAAAGGCATCACCCATTATAAATAGTAACAATGTGAAGGACCCATACAAATCATTATGTGTTAACATTTATTTCCTTTGTTTTTTAAAAAAAAGACTAATTTGTACTTTCACAATGTGTCTTTTATTTAAACGGAGGTATATGCAGTTGAGAATAACTGAAAAATATTGTACAATTCAAGTATACTTGAAATGGCAACTCGATAAATTTGAAAAATATGATGACACTATACCTATATTTTAGAACACTTTTTGGTTTTTTTGGTTTTTTTTTTGAGACGGAGTCTCACTCTGTCGCCCTGGCTGGAGTGCACTGGCGTGATCTCGGCTCACTGCAAGCTCTGCCTCCCAGGTTCATGCCATTCTCCTGCCTCAGCCTCCCGAGTAGCTGGGACTACAGGCTCCCGCCACCATGCCCGGCTAATTTTTTTTTTTTTTGTATATTTAGTAGAGATGGGGTTTCACCATGTTAGCTAGGATGGTCTCGATCTCCTGACCTCGTGATCCGCCCACCTAGGCCTCCCAAAGTGCTGGGATTACAGGCGTGAGCCACCGCACCCGGCCAGAATACAATTCTTAAGTAAAATAGATGGTAAATTAGTAATGTAAGAAAACAAAATTAAATACAGGTATTTTTTGAGTTCATATTCATTTATAAATTTCATGATGATGTTCTAATTTATCTAGTCTAAAGATGATTAATGAAACAGCAAACAAGATACTTCTTGAAGATGTAAATTAATCGCAAATTCTATTTCATATGTTTATAAAAAAACCTTTTTTTAAAACGCAGCAGTAATAGTAGGAACAAAAGCCATAGACTACACTTTGTGACACAGAGTTTGCACTGCAACATGTGCAGGTGTAGAATATACGATATTATTTTGTTTAATCCTCAAAACAATTCTATGGTGTAGGTACTCTTATTACTTCCCTTTAATCAAAAAGAAACTAAGACACAGAGCGGTTAAATAATTTTTACCTAAAATTTTCCTATATAAAAGTCTTAGATGAAAACTAAAAGGCCTAAAAGTAAGCAAAACACTGGTTGGGATTACTGGCAGAAACTTGGAATGGCTATATTAATGTCAGAAAAAATAAATTTTGAAGCCAAGAATATTACCAGCAAAACAGAAAGCCATTTCATAATGACAAAGAGGTAAATTAATCAACACGATATAATAGTCCTAAACATTTGTATACCTAATAACAGATCTTCAAAATACATGAAGTAAAAACTGAAGACATGCAAAGGGAAATAGGCAAATCCACAATTACAATCAAAGATTTCAATACCACTTCAAAATCTATAGAACAAGGAGGCATGAAAATCAGCAAGGCTACCATAGACTTGAATGGCACTATAAACCAACTTGACTTGATTGACACTTATTCATCTAATAATAGTAGAACACACATTCTCTTCCACTGCTCTTGAAACATTTAAGTTATACTATATTCTTGGTCAAAAAACAAGTCTTAATAAATTAAAAAGGAAGACAGTCATACAAAGCATATTCTCTGACTGCAATGGAATTATATCAGGTACCCTTATTAGAAAGATACTTGGAAAATATCTAAATATTTGAAATGAAATAGCACACCTCCTTAAATAGCACACTTTCTACCACTGATGAAAGAAGAAATCAAAACAGAAAGTAGTTAAGTATTCTTAACTGAAGGGAAATAAAAATTTATTATGTCAAAATTTGCAGAGACTGCTAAACCAATACTTAGGGGAAATTTTGTAGCACTAACTACTATATTGAAAAAGAAGATACCACATGATCTCACTCATATGTGGAATCTGAAAATGTTCATCTCATCGAAGTAGAGAGTATAATAGTGGTTACCAGAAGCTACAGAGGACAGGGGGAAGAAAAGCATGGGGAAAGGTTGGTCAATGAGTTCAAAGTTATAGTTAGACAGGAAGATTAAGTTCTGGTGTCTTATTACACAGAAGACTATAACAAATAATAATATATATTTCAAGATAGCTAGAAGAAAAGATTTTGAATGTTATTATCACAAAGAAATAATAAATACTTAAAGTGACAGATATGCTAATTACCCTGATTTGATCATTGCGCAGAATATACATGCATTAACATATCACATCATACCATTATTTATTATTTGTCAATTACAAATAAAACTTTTAAAAATAATCAATTAAAAAAGAAAAAAACAAAGGTTTCAAAAGAACAACTTTATCCTCCAAAATGAAAAATTAGAAAAAGAAAATCAAAACCAAAGCAGAATAAAGGAAATAATTATAAAGATCAATGAAACAAAAAACAGAAAAGGATGATTCTTTGAAATTAATAAAATTGATTAACCTCTGGGCAGACTGATCAGGAAAAATAAGAGAAGACACCAATTATCAATATCAAGAGTGAGAAAAGTGGCATCACTAGAGATAATATAGATATTAAAAGAATAGTAAGAAAATATAATGAACAACTATATGCCAGTAAATCTGACAACTCAGATGAAATGGACAACTTTCTTAAAAAACACAAATTGCCAAAGCTCACTCAAAAACAAATACACAACTTAACCCAATATCTAGTAAAGAAATTAAGAATGAGGTTAAAATTATTTCCACAAAAAAACCTCCAGGGCCAGAAAGATTCTTGAATGAATTCCACCTAAAATTTAAGATGGAAATAATATCAATTTTAAGTGGAGTTTTAAACTATTTCAAAAAAAATGTAAAAAAAGGAATACTCCCCAAATCATTCTAAGAAGCTAGCACTGCCCCAATATAAAAGCCAAACAAAATAAAATCACAGACTAATACTCCTCAAAGCATAAATTTAAAAATTATAAATGACATAATACATCACAGAAAAACTACATGATCATCTTAATAAATGCAGAAAAAGCATTTGACAAAATCGAACATCCATTTATTATTTTTTTGGTCTTAATCTTAGCAAACTAGAAGTAGAGGAGAATCCCTCAACCTGATAGAAGGCATCTACAAAAGCGTTACAGGTGTTCCTATCATATTAACAGGGTAAGACTGAATGCTTTCCTCTAAAACCAGGAATAGGAAGGGTATTACACTCACTCACCAATTAACATTGTATTGAAGGCTCTATCCACTTAACATTGTACTGGAGTGCAATTGGAAAAGGGGAAAAAGAAAAAAAAAAGAAATAAAGTCATTAATATAAAAAAGGAAGAAAAAAATACCTGTATTTAGAGATGACCTGATTATCTATGTAAAAAATCGGATGGAATCTACAAAAGAGCTCCTAAAGCTAATGTGTGAATTCAGGAAGGCTGCAGGATGCAAGATCAACAACTAAAAAATTACATTTCTATATACCGGCAATGAAATATCTGAAAGCAATTTTTTTAATCAGTAAAAATAGCACTCTGTTATGAATTTCTTAAGGATAAATATGAAAAGAGATGGGAAAGACCTGTACACTGAAAAATATTCTATTTTGCTAAATGAAAGATAAAATTCTTAAGATGTCTTTTTTTTTTTTTTTTCCCAAACTCATCTACAGATTCAATGCAATTCCAATCAAAATCCCACCAGGGTTTCCTATGGAAATTGACAAGCTGACTTTGAAATTCATATGGAAACACACATGACCTAGAAGGAACAAAACAACTTTGAAAAAGAATAACAATGTTAGAGAGCTAAAACTACCTGATGTCAAAAATTATTAAAACACTAGAGAAATCAAAACAGCAAGGTATTTACATAAATACAAACAAATCAAGGAACTGAATACAAAATCCAGAAATAAATCCACACATATTTGGACAACTGATTTTTGACAAGGGCTGAAAGGCAATGTAGATGACAAAGGTCAGCATTTTCAATAAATGATGCTAGAACAAATGGATATACACGTTAAAAAAATGACTTGAAACCATACCTTGTGTCACATACAAAAATTAACTCAAAATAAATCACTACCTGAATGTAAAGCCTGACAGTATAAAACATGTAGAAGAAAACATGGAAGAAATTCTTTGTGAATGTGAGTTATGCCAAGATTTCTTAAATAAAATAAAATCTATAAACAAATCAGTAAATTTGACTTAAGCAAAATGGAAAACCTACTATCTTTAAGATACTGTTAAGAAAATAAAAAGATAAACCATAGAATGGGAGAAAAATCTTTGCAATACATATATCAGATAAAGTGCTTATACGTAGAATAAAAAAACTCAACACAACAGTAAAGAAAACAAGCAATTTAATCTTAAGAGTATGTAAAGATTTAAAGAATCATTTCACCAAAGAAAATATATAGATGTCAAATAAGCACAAATAAAAATGCTCAACATCATTAGTCATTAGGGAAATAAAAATTAAAATCACAACTATGCACCTGTTAAAATGGCTAACATTTAAAAAATTGGCAAAATGTTTAATAATTTAATTTTTTTAATTGCAAGTATTGTTGATGTAGAGAAAAAAGAATTCACACATACTGATAGCAGATAAACTACATGTACAATCACTTTAATAAAACAATCTGCAAGTTTTTTTTTTTTTTTTTTTTTTTTTTTTTGAGATGGAGTCTCTTGCTCTGTCCCCCAGGCTGAGTTGCAGAGGCATGATCTCGGCTCATTGCAAGCTCTGCCTCCCAGGTTCACACCATTCTCCTGCCTCAGCCTCCGGAGTAGCTGGGACTACAGGCGCCAGCCACCAGGCATGGCTAATTTTTTTTGTATTTTTAGTAGGCATAGGGTTTCACCATGTTAGCCAGGATGGTCTAGATTTACTGACCTCGTGATCCACCCGCCTCAGCCTCCCAAAGTGCTGGGATTACAGGCATGAGCCACCGCACCTAGCCCAATCTAGCAAGTTTTTAAAAGTTAAACAAACATACACCTAAACTAAATGTACAATAACTTTAATAAAACAATCTAGCAAGTTTTTAAAAGTTAAACAACATACACCTAACATACCCCTTTGAGGCTCTACCCAAGAGAAAAAGAAGTACATGTACATACAAAAACATGAATATGAATGCTCATAGCAGCTTTACCTGTAATAGCCTAAAACAGGAAAACCACTCAAATGTCCATCGACAGATAAATGGATAAACAAAATGTTATATATTGATACAATGGAATACTACACAGCATTAAAAAAGAATTAATTATTGAGACATGTAACAACATAGATGAGTTAGACAACATAGACTTATCTATTATACATTTGCTTATGCTTTCATTTGGACAAAAGATATACTCAGAAGAGATCACAGTAGTATCTCTTAGGCCTAGAAGCTCTTAGGCAGGCCAATTAAACATCTGAGAGTACCACTGATACTTTCTTCACCAATTTCTCCTGATCACTTAGCCTCGGAAGGACAGTACAGCACATTTTTCAGGATACTGGGCTTACAGTCAGAGACCCAAGTTAAAATACTGGCTTTGCCACTACTTGCAATATAACTTTTAAGAAACCTAAGATCTCTAAATTTTATTTTCTCCTCTGCAAGGTAATACTGCAAGTATGACCCGCAGGTAACTTAAGATCTCTAAATTCAATTTCCTCATCTGCAAGGTAATATTGCAAGGTAAAGGTGTTATCTTTTTAACACAAGGAAGTTACAAAAATTAATTTTAAAATAGCTAACAATTATGGAGTGCTTACTATGGGCTAAGCACAGGAGTCCTTTACATAAAATATCCTAATTATTTCTATAGCCATACCAGAATATTTTATAGATGAGGAAACTGAAACTTGAGAAAGCTTGTTTAAGTTCACACAACTATAAATGGTAGAGCTAGTATTTGAAGTCATATAACTTCAAAAGCTGAGTCTTTAATTAGATAATATTTATAAATCATATACTATAAACCATACACAGAGATGGTACTTGTTAAATATGTTGAAATAAATTAATGGTAGCTATTATTATTACTATCATATATCATTTCATTTTTATACGAGGTTTCCTAAAATAGTGCTATGAATGAATGCAGCTATTTCCAGTTTTTATAGACTTATGACAAGAAACAGAGTATACTATTCCTAAACTACAAATCTGATCATGTCACATTCCAGCTTACAAAATGTTCCAAGACTTCTCATTGACTCTTCATTACCATTCAAGTTTAAGCTCAAAAGCAATTTCTGGTTCTCTCCAATTCCCTAAACAATTGTTATCTTTACTTCTTTGTGCTTCAGCATATTTTAGAAGATTTAAGGAACTACCGTAGCTTCTCTCAACAACTAGACACTCAGACAACCCTCTTTATGTATTATTATTATGACCCTTAACCACAAATATTGAAATGAGTCTTTTATATGTATTTCTGACCCATTAGATTGAAACTAAGGATTCTGTTTTTTATTACTCTTTGTATTACTCCAGTACCTAATCAATTGCCAGGAACATAATAGGCTACTAAATACATTTTTATTGAATGATTTTATGCTGGCTACTTGGAAAAAGAACTATAATTAAATGAGGGGAAAAGTTTAAAGATAGATATACACTGCATACATAATGTCCTCCAAAGAAATACTAAATTGAATCTAGCCAAAATATGTAGCATTTTAGCAAAAGCCCTATATTCAACTTTCAGTAAAAAACCTATTTCTTTGTTTTTGAAGGTTATAGTTCAAGAAATAAATAATCAGAAGAATATACTAACAAACAAAACCTATTACATATATAGAGGTTTATAACATTCTAATCGATTCAACATTCATTTACTGATTGTTATTGTACTAAGTTCTGTCAATACAAATATTTGTTTTCATAACAAAAGTCAGACAATTTTTAAAATGATCCTTAAAACTGACTAGTTTCTGGGTTTTGCTGATGATTTCTGAGATAGCGTCTTGCTCTGTTGCCCAGGCTGAAGCGCAGTGGAGCAATCATAGCTCACTGCAACCTCAAACTTCTGGGGACAAGCAATCCTCCTGCCTCAACCTTCTGAGTACATGTCACGTGCATGTACTCAGACATGTGCATGTACATGACACGTACATGTCATGACACGTGCATGTCACCACACCTGACTAACTTTTTTTTTTCGGAGATGCACTCTCACTCTGTTGCCTAGTCTGGAGTGCAATGGCACTATCTTGGCTCACGGCAACCTCCGCCTCCCAGGTTCAAGCAATTCTCCTGCCTCAGTCTCCTGAGTAGCTGATACTACAGGCGCCCATCACCACGCCTGGCTAATTTTTTGTATTTTTAGTAGAGACAGGGTTTCAGCATGTTAGCCAGGATGGTCTCGATTTTCTGACCTCGTGATCCACCCAGCTTGGCCTCCCAGAGTGCTGGGATTACAGGCGTGAGCCACTGCACCCGGCCCTAACTTTCTTATTTTTAGTAGAGACAAGGTCTTGCTGGTCTTGCTCAGACTGGTCTTTGAACTCCTGGGCTCAAGTTATCCTCCCACCTCAGCTTCCCAAAGCACTGAGATAACAGTTGTGAGCTACCACACCTGGCCCTAGTTTGTCGTTTAAAGGAAGAAAAAGGCATGTTTAAAATTAGATTACATCATTTAGGTTTCTATAAGGATATGAACTATATGCTAAGGTATGTGAGGGAGAGACAGTCACTAAGCATGCCATATTAGGTACAAGAAACAGGATATTAGAAAAACACTTAGGGCTGGTGAAAAGGAGTAGCAAAGATGATGAAGATGGAAAAGTAGGCCAAGAGCAGACTACAAAAAATCACATATGCTACACTGAAGGAGCTGACCTTTTCTTCACTCATTTACCAAGTTACTAAATGAGCATCAAATTACTGAATGAAATAGCCAGGGACTTTTTCAGCCACTAGGGATGTAACTGTGACCAAAAGCGACACGGTTACTATTCAAGGTCTCTTTTAAGCAAGGAAAAAGCATGTTATAGTTCTATTTGGAATATAATTTAAAAAGTCTAAAACCATAGAAATAATAAATTTATCTTCTGAGAATAAGAAGGCTTAGATTTAAATTATGAAAGAAAAATTCAATATAAAGAAAAGAAATTATCAAGACTCCTCTGGAAACATCTCTAAAAGATATTTTAGAGACTATATGAAGAAATTATCAGAGGGAACTGAGGCCTAGAGAGGTTAAATAACTTACCCAAGTCTACCCTGCTAATAAATTGTGGCCGAGACGGGACCTAAACTCAGTTTGTCCTAGCTCAAATACAAATTACCACTAAATTTACTGTTTAAAATATGATGATTTATCTTGTTCGGTAAGTATCCTCTACATTTATTTCAAAATAAACATCTCAAAAAAATCTTTATAATATTATTGCATATATATACATCACTATCAACAGAACATGCTGAATAGAAACAGCAAGTTAAAAAAGAAAAACCCTCCAAAACTTCCTAACATATTTAAAACAGCCCACGTTTTATACCACTCCCTATAAAGTTTCTTTTTATTTCTCATTTCAAATTAAGGAAAATGAACGAAATAATTTTCACCAATAAACTTGTTGGTAAAAATAAAAGGAATGTGCTCAGACAGCAATTGTGACAGCAGTTAAAAAAAAAATCACTAGAGGGCTCAGTATACTTGATATTGTGAATTGTGTTTGTAAGCTATTGGAACATGAAATAATTAACATCCATTATGCATAGATTTCTTATATTTGAATAATATTCAAATTATATTAACAAATGCTTTAAGTTAAGAAAACAAATGATTAAAGAAGAAGAATAATGTGGGTTATATCAAAACTCTATTTTACTCAACTTTAGAACTACATGCTAATAATATTTATTGTTTTATTTATATTTCCTGCACACACAATACCTAATTAAATGCAGCTAATAATCTTTGCTTCCAAATATTTGACATTCTTCTAACTTAAAACATTTCATATTGATTTTATACATTAATGAATACATAAAGTTAAACTGAAATTATTTCTTAGCAAATCAGCATTTCCTTTTAAACAGAAAACTGAGAGTCTCATGATCATTTATCTTAAGTGCTTTATGTTTAATCCAGATAGTCATTCTAAGTATATACCATTTTCCCTTTTAACTGGTTCTAACTACTAAGCATTTTCAAAACATATCATAATTAGCAGACCAGAAACATTTTAAGTGTTACAAGCTTCATTCTACATCCACTTTATACATATTTGGGACTCACCAGACTACTGATCTTACATACATACGCCAGACTACTGATCTTACATATGCTTATCTTACATATTTGGGACTCACTAGACTACTGAAATAAGATGACTTATTTATGAAATTCCATAGAAAGTGTATGTTTTGGATATCCATTTATTAAATACTGGTAATACAGGCTACTCGTGAGTGCGCACTCTATTTTTAAAAGTAAACTGGATGATAGTATTTAGCTGGAAGAACAAAAATATACAGTAAACATACCTCATTTTTTATAATAATCATATATATTTATTTTGTCAGTTAATTAGAAAGCATTAACTAAGTATCTAGGATGAACCCAAGAACATGCTGTCCCTCCCAAACTAGTGTAAATATCATAAGCTTAAGTTTAAGATAATCAAACCATAGACATTAAAATTTCAGCATATATTTATGATAAATCATATAGATACCAAGGACATACATTACATAATTTTCACAGTTTTTCTTCGGCTCCCTATAAAATGTGGCTTAGGCTCAAAATTTCAGAATTAGTGATGATAGCCACTCCACACACTCCGTCCAAGTTTTATATTCTGGAATCCCACCACTCTAATATTCCTCACAAACCTGGCTCCATGCCATAATCTACGTAAGTCACGAGATTAAAAATCAAACAATTTACATGAATACCTTATTTAACATACTTGAGTATTCATTAGATGATCAGATGATTTTCTTTTAGATAACTGGATAAATTTTTTCATTTAAAGGTCTTCAAGTACTGACTACTTTACATGTGTGTGTATGTGTGAGTGTATAAAACTATTTTTGATAATTACTCTAAAATAGATGACTTTGGGCTTTCCTAACAGGATACGTTTTAAAAAAACTCTGATCTTTCATTTATAGGTGGAATCATTCATTTATTTGGCAAATAGTTCTTGAATATCTCCTCTATGTGGCTTAAACTGTTCAAACACTCAATAAGGTAGACAAAGTCTCTGCTGTCATGTAGCTTACATTCTAATTAGGGTGGAAGACAAAAAAAAATCAACATGTTTACTAATTTAAAAATTGTTTCAAATGCTCCTATGAATACATTTTAATAGATGGTGTAATGGGGAGTGAGACATAACAGTTACCTTAAATTAGGTTTCTAGAAAGGTGCCTCAAGAGAGGTGATCTGAGTTGAGAATAAAATGACAAGAACCAGGCCACGAAAAAATTTGAAACCTCAGTACATTCTAGGCAAAATGAAGATCCAGAAGCAGACCACTAAATCAGGACTAAGTTGAAATGTTGAAGGAACTGTACAGAGATTAGAGTGGCTGAGTAAGAGGTCACACATGAGATGGGAAAGAAAGACAGGAATTGTAGGTAGGTCATAGCAAAGACGTTGGATTTTTGTTCTCAACACAATTAAAATCTCTGCAGGATTTTAAGTAGAAGAATAATATAATATGATTTGTAATTTTTAAAGCTGTCTCTGGCTACCATGTGGAAAAAAGACTGAGAAGTAGCATAAAACTATGGCAGTAATACAAGTGAAAGGTGATGCTGGTTTATACTGGAGTGTCAGCAGAGGAAATGGAGAGAAGTAGCAGAACCCAGGCTATCTCTTCGAGGTACAGCCAATGGATCTGATGATGACTTAAATGTAAGATGGTGGAAAAAAAAAAAGAGAGATAAATCAAAGATGACGTTTTTCTTGAGTGAAAAATAGTTTTTAGGATATGAGGAAGATTAAGATGACAGACTGAGAGAGAAAAATAAACACTCCATTTGAAGTACCTATTATACATCTAAGTAGAGATTTCAAACAGGCAATTACATCAGAATTTGAAAGTCATGGAAAGGTCAAGGATTTTTAAAAATTAATTTTCAGAAAGGTAGTGATTCTTCCAAAATTATATAGTAGCAGCAGACTCAAATTTCAAAAGTTTGCATTCTAGTAATCTTTCTAAATTCTGTCTAAAATAAGAAGTTAACGGACACTAGGTAACAGTTTAGTGGATTCTTCGAGGAATAAAGTATATAAGGTTTTATATAATAATACTACACCTCTATTTTAGTTGTTAGAAATCTTCTTTTTGTCAATTAGGGTTTATCAACTGTATTTGTGGTCAATGGAATTTTGTAATATACTACTTACACTAGATAAGCATTGTTATAAGTAACTAGTCACAAGATTAAACTTCAATCATCTTAATAAAAATACTTTTGATAGTTAACATAACTTAATAAACAAATTTTATTATTGAAAGGCTACGTGACATACAACAATGCAGATTTTTTAATATTTAAAATCTAATCATGCAACAGCCTCTAAAAATTGAATAACTTGGTGTTCCAAATGTAATCAAAGTCTTGCTTAGGAAGAGTAAACCATATCCAATATAATATCATAGATCTCACATATTTGAGAAACGTTTGGCTATTCAATAAATATGAAATTGAACTAAAAGTTAAGTTTAATATATTCTGATTATTTTACTTCAACAATTCATATGATTACTTGGGCAAAAGAATCATACACATTTTACCACATTAACATAAATATATAATTAGTAATTATGTAGATAAAAATCTTTAAGGTAATTTTAAAAGATCAACATAAAAGATGAACATTGCAAGATATACAGCTATGATAAGCTTTCAGCTTTCCTAATTACCAAGTGATTTCTCAAATTAGAGGAACAGTTAAGTAAATTATGATATACCTATTCAATGAAATAATATGCATTCATTAAAATAGTAATCAAGGAGAATATGAAGCAACATGAAAAAAATCCTATATACATTAAGTGAAAAAAATACAAAATTATATTTTATTTTATTTTTTGAGATGGAGTCTCGCTATGTTGCTGAAGTTGGTCTCAAACTCCTAGGCTCATGTGATCCTCCTGCCTCAGCCTCCCAAGTTGCTGGGATTCCCCTCATGTGCCAGCATGCCTGGCTCCAAAATTATATTTGTACTGTGCTTACAACCATATTTTAAAAGACCACATTAAAAAACTGGAAGAAAATACTGCTGGCTGGCTCCACTCCTCTATTGTTATCATGGAGTCCCCTTTTCATCTCTCTGAGGATAAACCTAATTTATAGGTGAAAAAGCTTTCAGATAACAGAAACTGATTCATATTTTACATGAGTGAGCCACCTTTTGCCCTAAAATTCTCATCCTTTTTAAGTTTCAGGGGATCTCTCAGTAATAGATTCAGATAAACAAGTGTAGAAAGCTCAGGACTTCAATTTAGGCCTTAGAGACCTTGGGACAGGTAGGTTTATGGATATGTTAATTTCAGGTAAACTATGTTAACATACTAGGGCAAGTATCTTTATCTGACCAGTTTGTTTCCATAGAAAAATGCATTTGAGTTGTAAATAAACAACTTAGAAATCAAGGCTTAGACCATAATCTTTCATACTCTACTAAGAACAATAGAAGACAAAATATCAGCTACCCTAATCATAGAGAAATCTTAAAGGTGAGGACTACATATTAAGAAACAAACAAATTAATCCTAGAAGTTGAAAATAAACAACTGAAAAATATTTAAAAACATTTTAAATATTCCCAGTCTAATTCATCACTGTCCAATGGAAGTATATTAAAAGTCATATAATATATACTTACATCTTCTAGCAGGAACATTAGAAACACACAAAAACATGTGAAATTAATTCTATAATGAATTTTATTTAACTCAATGTATCTAAAATATCATCTTAATATGAAATTGTAAAATTAGTGTATGTTACACTTAAAGCACATTGCAATCTAGACTAGCCATATTTTAATTGCTAAACACCCAGATGTGGTTAATGGCTACTATGTCAAACAGTGCAGCTCTGGAGAGTGCCCAGCTAACTTATATAATGCTCATAAATTGATAAATAAACTGTCCTAACACAGCAGATTACATTCAGGGAAAATCTCTTAGGGCAACATTCAAAAATCCTTAATGTGGTCGAAAAGACCCTGCCATAATATGAGGTTCATGAAATTCAGATAAAATATATTGCCAGGTACAGTGACTCATGCCAGCAATCTCACAACTTGGGAGGCTAAAATGGAAGGATTGCTTGAGGCCAGGAGTTTGAGGCTGCAGTGAGCCATGATCATGCCACCACACTCTGGCCTGGGTGACAAGGCAAGGTCCTGACTTAAAAAGAAAATAAAAAACTACATATTAAGGAGTCTTTAGGAAAGAGAAAGGACATTAGTCTTTCTCTTGATGTCTTATTCTCTATAGTTATCCTTGGTAAGCATAAAAACAAGGAAACAAGTAACCATTTGTTGAATGTGTTAAACAATGGAATTAATGTTCTTTTCCAAAATTGACTCAATCACTCATACTTATTTCTATATTCCAACCCAAGGTATAAAACAGTGAGGTTGAAATGTCAACCACATATTACATTAGTGTCCCAACCTAAGCCTCATTACTCATCTTTATTAAAGGTTGACAAATACTTTACAAATACATCACCTGATCAAATGAAATCACTTGTATTCCCTAAAGTGCTAAACAAGAAATATAAGAAGTATTTTCCTTTAAAATATGACTACTATGAGGCAGAAATTATGATTTTCAACTTCATCTCTCTAATTCCTAGCACAGTAAATGGTGTAAAGCAAATACTCAGTGATGTTGTTTTTTTCCTCTGTGCTTGCTTCAGCTGAGTCATTTTGATTAAATCATAATTATCAACTATGAACTGCATTGTTGATGAATGTTTATAAATCAACTAAGAGTTAAGATGCTCCATGTTAAGAATAAATTGTTCTACTCACATTATTTATTAAGTTCCACAAGTGTTTTTTATCATATATTATAAATATTAGTCAAATAATTTTTTTCTATAGTTATTCACTGAAGTTGCCGCCTGTAAAACACCAAGTTAGCTTGGATTGCAACTGCTCGTGGTACACTTGTTTTTTTGTTTCGTTTTGTTTTGTTTTTAAGACAGAGTCTTGCTCTGTTGCCCAGGCTGGAATGCAGTGGTGCGATCTTGGCTCACTGCGCCCTCCGCCTCCCGGGTTCAAGCGATTCTCCTGCCTCAGCCTCCTGAGTAGCTGGGACTACAGGTGGGTGCCACCACGCCTGGCTAATTTTTTTTTTTTTTTTTTTAGTAGAGACACGGTTTCACCATGTTAGCCAGGAAGGTCTCAATCTCCTGACCTCGTGATCTACCTGCCTCGGCCTCCCAAAGGGCTGGGATTACAGGTGTGAGCCACCGCGCCCGGCCAGTACATTTGTTCTTAAAACCAAAAAAGGTAGTTTCAAAACATACTTTTAATATATTTTTTAATCTTCCTGACACTAAGCACTAAAAACTCTAAACATAACCAGACATTTAGCATATCATGGAATTTCCCACATTAAGAATACAAATTATGTATTACATAAGAAATATGTAACATTCTATCTTTTCTACTTATCCCTAAGAAACTGATTGACTGTTTATACCCAATCCCAATTTACATATCTATATTTTTATATATTTATATCTCTCTATATATATTATACCAACATATGCTATTATTTTAAAATATCATCCTTCTAGGTCCAGAGGTAACAAAATATTATTTCTAAGAGACTTTATAAAAATTACTAAAACCCAGGCTTATTTGTTTGTTTGACCTGCAAAAGAATTATAGGGAATTCTTGGGAGACTGTATAGTCCAACTAGGGTTCCTCCTCTACTATACATAACAGAGTTGGTCAACTAAACTCTAGATCAGTGTATTTCACAAAGAAGGTTATGCCTTACTAGTGAGTTATGAAATTAATTTAGTGGATTGTTATCGGTGCTTTTAAAGAATAGAAAAGAAAAAGGAAATACTAATGCATCACATGTGATAAGGATAAAACAGTTTCATGAAAATTTTGTTTTAATTGTGTTTGAGTATATTGATTACAATGTAAAATATTTTTTAGATGAGTGCAATAAAAAAAGTTTGAAATCCAATGCCACAAATAAATACTTTCTAGTGAACACAAATGCATTCTTTCAAAATATGATCCTGCTTCATTTTGGGAACACAAAAATATTTCGCTCACAAATCAATGCCTATTACCTTCGGCCTATCTAGCAATTTCACTTTTTAAAAATGTATCCAAAAATATACTTACACATGTGCAAAATTGTGTATGCATAAGATTATTTATCACAAATTATTTGTAATACCAAAAATTAGAAACAATCCGAATTTCCTCAATAGTGTACCACTGGAATAAATTATGGCATATCCATACAATGAAATTCTATGCCTCCATAAACAGAATAAGAAAGTTTTCTGTTTTCTGAGATGAAAAGATCTTTTTATGGCCAAAAAAAAGCAAGCTGCAGAATAGTATTATAATATGCTATTTTATTGTCCAAATTTGAGGAGGGCAGGAAATAATTATTTATATTTGCTTGCAGAAATTCTGAAAGAATACATAAAATTAAATACACTGCTTATTAATGAAAGAAGTCAGGGACCTGGGAAGATAAAAGACACAAATAAAAGGCTTCTCAGTATGTAAAGGTTGCTAGTTTTTGAAACCATATGATAATACCTATGCCAAAAAAAAAAAGAAATATGACTGACATCTTTTAAGAAATGGAAAAACTAAAAACATGTCTGATTTAGTGGAAAAGCCTAAATGAGCTCTCATGTATTATATAAATATTTCATATTAAGTTCTTCTCATTATTCCTTGAATTCTACCCTTTAGAAACAAAATAGTAAGTTAAATTACTCTTCTCATGCCCCTTCAAATTATTCTACACCATATGTCCCCTACTCAGTGTTCTTCCCAGCGTTCTCTTTTTTGGTCTTAACATGGCTAGTTCCTCAAAGGACTTCCCAATTAAAAGTTTAGACACAGAAGAAAACAGCAAGTGTTCTTTCTACCTCCAATATTTGTGACATCAGACCCGTGGTCTCATCTAAACCTCAATGGCTTCACCAGAGGACCAGATCTGTTATTAACTGCAAGCCTAAATCACATCTTGCTGTTATCTAAAATGTATCCTCCTACTCCTCCATCATGTACTAAACGCTGCCTACCAAGTGTCAGGCTTTGAGGACGTGGTCTGTCCTCAAGAGCTCACATTGCAGCAGATGAATCTAGACTACCAGAAACCCATTTCATGAGCTCCAACTATGACTTTCTTTCCACATACCTCCACATTGTAACGTTTAAAGAAACCAGAGAAGATCTTACATACTACTTCACTAAATACACCAATCCCAAACTACATAATTTGTGACAAGTCAGTAGACTAACTGAACACAAAAACTACAATGTGATTTCTAATGCTCTTAAATTAAAGGTAAATACATAAGATAATATATTCCTTATTTAATTTGGCAAGTAAACTGTTCACTAATCTATTTAGCAACCATTTTTACTGAGCACGTACTACATATGAGGTTTTGTTTTAAATGCTTTAAGTGCATTATTTCACTTAGCATCCAAAGAAAATTTATGCGGTAGGTCTTTTTATCGTCCTTCTTTTAAAGAGGGGGGAAGTAGGGCATGGTGAGTTTAAAGAACTTAACCAGGATAAATGGCTAGTAAATTGCAGAGCAAAGATTGAAACTCAGGTATCTGACACCAAAGTCTAAATTAAAAGTCCAAGTTAAAGGCTTGTAAAACTTATTAATTTCATTACTTTACACTTTTATTTTTAAGGTAAATTTTTTGATTCCTAAAACTGATTTTTAACCAAGTAACATAATTTATAAAACTAAATATGAAAATACAGTCAATGAAAATACTGACTTCCCTAATAAATAAATGCAAAATAGAATAAGATACAATTTTATTAATCTGAGTGTTGAAGATTTATTAAAAATTTATTGCTCTTGGTAATGTTTATATCTTCAAATATATTGCTTATATCCAATTCATATTACAAATGTGCATACATCATTTAACCTAACTCCTAGACAAAAAAGTATCCAAGCGAAATAACTGAATAAGAATGTCAGATAGATAAATAAGCACAAAGATGCTTGCTTTAACATCATTTACAATAAGAAAAAAACAGACACAAGCTGAATATCTACAAATAGGGTATTGGAGTAAGTAATTCATGACACATTCTCCATGAATCACGGTAGATAAGAATGAAGACATATTTGCTTATAGAAAAATGTGTCTAAAAGAGAAAAAAAGTATGCCACAAAATAGTAGCTAATTAAATATATTAATACAAAAACATTCTGGAAAGATATATATCAAAGAATTCTGCTAAAGTTGGGACTATAAAGACATTTTCACTTTCTATTTTATATTATAAATGTAGATGTTACATTTTTAATATTATTTTTTGGTAATAGATAAATTTTATCATCAGCCCTACAGAAATCTTTTCTGTTTAGATAAAATAAACAAAAGGAGAAAGGCCTATTCTGTATTGACTTCATGTATTAAAACAACAATATTTCTTTATAAATAGAAATACCTAATGCTTTTGTAGTAATACAAAATAACTGACTAACCCTCTTTTTCATTCTGTAATATAGAGTCCTACATCTTTACAAACACCAAATTTCTAATTTGTACCCCCTCTTGAAAGTGCACTGAAAAATTACTAAATTTTATTAAGAGATATGAAAGACAGTACATGGACACTGTTATTTTCTCTTTACTGAAGAGTCATGTGTTTTAATGCTTTACGATAAAAATATATTTTGAATCAGATGATCTGAGTAGAGGAAATTAAGTCTTAGTAACAAAGCACCTCAAAAGAGTAACCTAATATTAAATCTGTGAAAGAAGTGAGATTGTTAGATTTTGTGAAAATCAAGTTACTTATTTTCTACAATGAAACTGAGCCAAATTGTATTACATATGAAGAAAGCAGTAAGAAATCCCACCTAAATTAATTAGACATTGCAATTTATTATTCATATATTTTTATGTTACTTAACTGAATGCATTTACACCATCCATTCACTCATTTAATCGTTTATTAATTTAAAGACAGGGTCTCGTTCTGCTGCCCAGGCTGGAATGCAGTAGCATGATCATCGGCTCACTGCAATCTCAAACTCCTGGACTCAAGTGAACCTCCCACATAAGCCTCCAGAGTACCTAGGACTACAGGCATGCAGTACCATGTCTGGCTAATTTTTTTAATTTTAAAAAATATGTTTAGAAATGGGGTCTCACTATGTTGCCCAGGCTGGCCTTGAACTCCTAGGCCCAAGTGATCCTCCTGCCTTGGCCTCCCAAAGTGCTAGGATTACAGGTGTGAGCCACCATGCCCAGCTCATTTACACTGTATAAAATACTGACAATACTCAATATGCCTGTAAGTGTCAATTCCTAAAACTTCTCATACAGAAAAGTCTAAGAAGCATAACAAAAACAAATGTCAGCTAAATACAGATGGACCTTAGAAATATACTTCACAGCCTGATGGTAAAATGATAAATAAGATGTTATTACTGGTCTTGAAGACACAACACAGGAGAGAAAAAACAAACAATAGCAATACCATGTTTAACAAGAATTTCAGATATAATGGGAGTCAGAGAGGCATACCCTCTTCTTGGGAGGGTAAGATGCCCTCCTAATTCCCAGGAGAGGTATGATTTGAGCAAAAGCTGAATGTTTAGGAAGACTGAAGAAAAAACACAAAGTTCTCAATGGGGGATTTTAAAAGAGAAACAAAACTTGGGCTGCACAATCATAACAAGCTCTACTGACAAACCATCCAGATTGTACATCTGGGTTTTCACCAGCACACTCTTAACAATAACTCAACATGTCAGATGTCATTCTGAAACATCTTCTTTAGGGTGCTATGTCAATAGTTACATTCATACACATGCTCATGGTATGTCATTATATTAAATTGTTAGATATAATGCGGATGGAAATAATGTCTTCCAAAAATTCCCATTGAGGATTCTAATAATGAAATTCTCTTGTTTAAGGAGATGTACATTTAAAATGGCATTCTTGCACTATTTAATCAGTTTGGAAAGTTTAAACTCATATGAACTATAACAAATTTAAATTAAATAATTACCCTTGATTCAACATCTGTAATATTTTATGGACTTGACCGTATAAGTGCCCAAATATTTTATCCTTTGCAAAGACTTTGAGCAAACTAGTAAAAGTAATTTAAAGGTTCAACTCAGAGCTGAAACCAATTATTACCATAAATATCAGCCAAGAAACTAAAAATGACATTTTCATTGTTGGATTCAACAGAATTTAACAGAGACTCTTTAGCTTCAGTTTTATTGCCATGATTAGAAGTGCAGCTGTTTATCAGAAGTTAGATCCTACAATCTCAGCCAAGACTGTTTGTAATACCAATTAAATAATTTTAGGCTACAACACTTTGAAACCGCACTTCAGATGATATACCAGAGGCATACTTATACATACCTGATTTCTAACAGGGATGAAATTGAGTCTTAAAAATGGGTCAAAATGGGGCTAGAGTTAACTGATTATCTATATTTAAAAATGGAATTTAAATCTTTATCTTACTTCATATTATCAGTAAGTATCAGTTTTAGATGGTTTGGAAATGTAAATGTGCAAAGTAAGATTTTAAGTGGCAGACAGACCCTAAGGTAAGCCCAAATAATCCCAGATGCCTGCCTCCTGGTGTTCATGCCCTAGTTTAATCCTTTCCCCTCAAGCATAGTGGGACCTGTGACTTGTTTCTAGCCAACAGAAGAATATGGCAGAGGCTGTCACTCCCATGATTATTTTATGTTATATATGACTCCATCTTGTAGGATTTGCCTTCTGACAAGCAACTGACACCCCCTTGTATTTCTCTATACTTAATGAACAATTAGAGGTTGAATTTGAAAGAGTTTTAAAATAATACCAGAAAACATAAACATGAAATACATAGGTATAAATTTAACACAACAGTCGTAAAACATATCCTAAAAATTACAAATTAATCATGAAAAAAATCAAAGAAAAATAAATGAAGAAGTATATAATCTTTGTGGTTTGGAGGGTTTGATATTAAGATTTAAATCCTCATCAAATAATCTATAGATTCAATGGAATCCCAGTTAAAATCTCAGCAGAAAATTTTGTAGAAAACAACACGATTCATATGGAAAATCGAAGACATAGAATAACCAAATACTAACACCTGTTTTCAAGACTTACTATAAAGCTTCAGTAATCCAGACAGCATGGCAAAGAATAGACATGCAGGGAATCAAAAATAAGCTCACCTGTATGTATATGATCAACTGATTTTTAACAAACGTTTAACAAACATGCAAAAACAAATCAATGTAGAGAGAAATCTTTTTGATAAATGATGCCTGAACAACTGGACAGCTATATGCAAAAACAAACAAAAACCTTGACCCTTACATTTCACCATATATAAAAACCAATTATAAATGGATTATATACCTAAATGTAAGAGCTCCAACTTTAAAATTTACAGAAGAAAATTACGAAGAAAATCTTAATAACCTCGCGTGAGGCAAAAATTGCTTACATATGACCAAAAAGCATAATCGAGTTTTTTTTTTTGTTTATAGAATGAACTTCAAGGGTACTAATACATTTGCTCCACTGAAGACATTTTGTGAAAAAACAAGTCACAAAATGGGAGAAAATATTACAAACACATATCTGAAAACGGACTGTATTCAGACTACACAAAGAAGTCTCAAAATTCATTAACAGGAAAACAAATTACTCAATTAAAAACTTGACAAATTATTTAAGCAGAAATCTCACCAAAGAAGAATGACAAGTAAGGACACAAAAAGCTGCTCAACATTATTAGTCATTAAGGAAATGCAAACCAAAACCATAATGAGATACTACTACACAACTAAGTAAAATGTTTAAAAATTTTTAAACCGACAATATTATGTGCTGACAAAAATATAGGGTAAGTGGAATACTCATACATTGCTGGTGGAAATACAAAATGCTCCATTCATTTTGGAAAACAGTTTGCCAGTTTCTTACAAAGATAAGTACATATTTACTATATAATGTAGCAATTCCATTCCTATTTACCCTAGGAAAACAAAAATATATGTTCAAATAAATACCTGTACATGAACAGTTTAAGTCATAATCAGCAAAAGTTGCAAACAAGCTAAAAGTACTTCAAATGGAGAATGAACAAATTGAAGTACGGATACAAAATGTAATACGTTTCAGCCATGAAAAAAAAAACAAGTACTGAAACATAGAGCAATATGGATGAATGTCTAATGTATTACATTAAGTGACAGAAACCAGATTCAAAATATTCATGACACTTACATGATATTATACAAGTAACTTATATGACGTATACATAAGCATTACACAAGGAATTTTATGATACTTATATGACATTTTGGAAAAGTCAAAACCATAGGGAAAATAAACAGACCAGTGGTCTGCAGGAACTGGGAGTGGTGGGAAAGAGGTAAAAGAGGCAGTAGTAAAGTTTTTGACATGATGAAAATGTTGTTTTTGATTGTGTTGATATTTACATGTTTTTGTTCATGTTGATATTTACAAAATCTACTACACTGTACCCCCAAAAGGGTGTATTTTATAGTAGTCAAATGATAACTTTAATACACCAGGCTTTCAAAAAAGACAACAAAAACAAAACAAAAAATAAAGCAATACAACAAAATGAGGGGAGGAAAGGAAAGGAGGAAGGAAGGAAGGGAGGACAGGAGGGAGGGCAGAGGAAAGAATTTGGTGGGGAGGCCATTTATATATATGATTGATCATCTTATCTTTAAATTTAGGGAAGTAACTTATAAATCCCGTTGACTTTTATGCTTCTCTACATGAGATCTGAAGCTCAGAGTATAAGCTTTCCAAATACACTGAACCCACAACTCAAAAGAGTAGGGGAAGGAGTTAGTCACAGACAACTGGAGACTCAAAGGATGGAGCTCAAAGGATGTACTGAGGAGGCCAGTGCTTTTAAAAACAGGTTCTTCATGCTCAGGTTAGGGGCTGCTGGTCAACACTTGAGATTTTCATTCATTTGCCAGGGGGAAATAGTAATTTGTACATTTCTTAACAGCTCCCAGATGACTATTAAGTATAAGCAAACCTGAGAATTATTATCAAATATCCTACCCATCCACAACACAGTGATTAAGTTTTCTGATTCATCTATGTTTAATAATTTAATACAATCTACTCTGGAAAGAACAAAGTACATTTTACTCAGAAAAATTTCTGTTAAAAACGTATAAGTTTAGAAGAAAGAGGTCCCTATAAGAAAAATATTTTGTTTGAACTTCTTGTATAATACGTAAAGACTTGAAGGAACAAGCAAAACATTTAGCGGAAGAAATCATGAAAGCTGTGTAACAAAACATGATATTGTACCGATGGCTTAATAATTGAGATCCCTTTATACACTGATTCCCTGGTACATTTAAAATTTACCAAAATTATATGCTTATTTTCATATAACTCTGAAATTTACCAAGAACGTGAGACCTTATTGAGAATGCAAAATGAAGCAACCTATGTTTACTTAACCACTTTGATATTTGCACCACTGGATCAAATTTAAACACGTCCTCTCTAAACCTCTTGCTGTCAGGGTTGACGTGATGTGCCAGGATTTATATGATGTTTATGTGAAGGGTTCCCAGATAAAACAACAAAAGTCAGCTATCAATGTGAGAAATTAATTGAAGGGACAGTTTATATAAGCATTTCTTGAGCTAAGAATTTACCGATTACCTAAAGTATATCACAAAAACCACTATACATTTTCTGTGTGCTAACTCATGTAATCATCAAAATAAATAGTCTGAAAAGGAAACTGAAACTCAGAGGCATAATTTAACTTGATTCGTGTCACAAAATGTGCAAATGGTGAAGGAGGGAACTCCCATCAGTCCTACCTAACTGGATAGCAAGCTTCTTAAAGCCAGGATCATAGTTCTAAACCTCTGTGTATCCACCATAACTCCTAGTACAATGCTTTGCATCAATCATGAACTCAAGAAATTATTACTGATGACCAATAACCAATACATATGTACTTTCAAACTAAATAACAAGAAGAAAATCTATAAATAGCAACCTGTAAATATCAAATATTTCTGTGTGTTGTTGTAGGTCTGTGAAACCACAACACACTGATATATTGAAAGACATGGACTAAATCCAGTTCTAAAGCAATTTGGAATTTCCAGAATATAACTTAAATTCATTAGATTTTCAGATTTCTGAATTCATTCAAGTTGAAAAGTTATACTGGGACAGTTCAATGTCTTTAAGTTTTTAATCTTCTCCATTCTAATTTCCTGCTATAAAATCAATAAAGTGTAGGTTGTAAAGAAAATTATTTTGTTTGATTACTTTACTCCTAGTTAGAGGCAGATGTTAGTTATAACTTTTTCTGTAGTTTAGCAGGTATTTTTGAAGCAGCTGGTGCCCTTTTCCTAGTTATCTGTTTGCAAGTGTTCCCAGTAGACTATACGGTACTGCAATCCTGAAAAGGTTTTGGGCATACAGACAAAATGAATTCTTATTTAGAAGAGAAAACATAGACAGTATTTCCCCTCAAATAAGACTTGGGTGTTTCATAGTTTTGAATGATAAAGCATTTTCATAACAAGTAAACATTATTTTTTAATAATTTAAATAATTGCTGAGAGTCAAAAATTGATAAAAATTTCTTATTTATAATTTTATAAGGAAGATTATCCAATATATCATTTTTAAACATATTAAGCATCTATTGATAGCCCAAACAGAAAATAATAATTATTAAAAGCATGTACCACACTGAATGTATCAAAAATCCCCAATTACTTTCAAGAATAAACTGAGAATTTTAAAAGTTTTTCCTTACAGTTTCCATAGTTGCACTCTAAATAATACTCCAACACATAAAATCATGGCCTTCTTGACAGTGACCAAGTTTTTATAACAAAACTTAATTTGGAAGATTCTGTATAAAAGATGTCACAGATAAGACATAATCTCCAACATTTTATGCCAGGTCCACACAAAAGTTGCAACATGAAGTCAAGAACTATTCTTTTCTCTGTATACCCAAAACAGCTCTATTAAGGAAACAATTGTTTAGTTCATTATCACTGTTTCCGATGAAGATCAATGCCCACAGACTAAGCAGTCAAGAAGCAACTCAAGTCTCATGTTCTCCAAGAAGTCTTCATTAACAGCCATACTCTGCAATGATCCCAGTAACCTTGTTCTGACACATCCTATCACAGACAGCGTTAGCTGTCCACACACAATCACTGTTTCATTTTGTTTTTTCTAATGAAAATGCACTTTTTTATTCAGAAAATCTGGCCTCTTTGACAAAATCATGTGTTTCACTAAGCCAAACATGGCAAACTTGTTTCCCTTGAATCCTGGAAAATATTTCCTCACTCTTAAAATAGACACAGGAAAATTTAGTCCTCATTTCTTACTGGACTTTTTTTGCACAGTGACCCTGGAATAACAGCCATGATGAGAGTTAATTTGAGGAAAAGCCAAAAAAATGAGGATAGCAGAATAGAAAGACATTAACAAGTTGGGTTCTGAATAGCATCATTGAGCAAACAAATGGACGAACCTGGACTATTTGGCTTCCTATAAATTATTATTTATAACATAATAGTATATGTTTTTATGAGCTAGGTTTTCTGCAGCCAGAAGTATTCAAAGTGATAGAAAAACTAAATCTCAACAAGTAATCATCATAATACAGTACTGTACTTATCAGTTTTCCTAGTATTGTACTGTGGCTTAATCAGTTTAATATACCTAGAAACCAGTAATACTTCCTGTTGATACACTAAATCATACAAACAGTGCTAATTGGGTATATTTCGTGAAGCAAATATTTTGCTATACAATACATCTGAATAATTTATTGACAAGAGGTGGTAAAATTATGTCTATCTTTAAATGTATGAATTTTTTTTGGTTAAAATATCTGTTCCCTAGCTTTGATATTCCTGGCACTCTCCACATATGGCCTACATGCTAATAAGACTGAAGTGCTTGATATCCAAAGGTAACAGCAATTTCATGCAACATCCTTTGTGTGGCATACACCACCACCTGCTTTGTCTATCTGGCAAAGCTCTAGAACTAGTAAAATCATCATGGTCAATTAATTATTGCTAGTGCTATAAATTATTTTTGAAAAACTCCTTATATAGTCCAACTATTTATATATCTGGAAAGAAGAGAAAATTTACATTTCCATTAAAGTACCCTATAATACTTTATTTAAGGTTCTATCTAAGAATTTAATAGTTTCCTCCAATGTTGTTTTATTCAGCATGTCCTAAACAAGTTCATCCAATTTAGAATGAAAAAATGAGAAAAACTGTTTTTAAAATTGCACTAACAACTGACCTCAGGATACAGGCTAAAACAGAAACTTTAACTTGAGTTGCATGAGAAAATTAATAATTTGGCTTGGAGCAGGGTGGCAATCCACAAACCAGATAAGAAAATAAAATATGAAAGGGTTTTCTTCTCTCCATTTCTTAATTGTCACTTTGGAAATTACCTTTATGAAATAAATTATTTTTATGTTCATTTATGCTATTCAGCTACTTTTTCATTCCAAACCCATGTGGAGTAGTAGTGGATGCTATCCTACAAGATCTGAAAAGCCTGGCAACATAGTCACCATAGCAAAACATCTTAAACTAGTTTCTAATTAACTGATAGAACTAAACAAAGCAGTCATTATAATTACTGACATTTGTGGTTATCTTAAGACCGAAAATTTGGAAAAAGTCAAATAGAGAAGTTATAAAGAAGTGTGACTTTTACTTTGGCTTTACTTTGTTCAACATATTTTGATTCAATCAAATCATGAAGGCAAGAAAGTTAAAGAAGCATCCAGAAAAATACTTCAGAGTATGGATCCTTTTCATGAGATCACTTTGAAGACAATGAAATGTCACTAAAACCTGGTCATGCCCCAAATTAAAAAGCCTTTTTCTAAAGCATCCCACAAGGCTGTTTATTATACTGTCACACATGCCACCAATTTCATCAGAACCATGGCCTTGAAATCACAGCCTTTTTAAGAGGTCGTATCAAGAAATATTAACAAATTATGAAGTTTGAAACTGAAAATTTAATTTACCATTTTTTTTAATTTACAGACATCATAGCAAAGATGATTTCATAAATTTCATGAGGAAGGAAACACAAATGTGGCACAAATTAAATGGAGCAAAAATTAAATTTCTAATTTAATTTGGCAAGTACTAAATTTCCTTAATACAAGCCTAGCCTCACCTGGCAATTTGAATCATGTGTTGCAGAAAGGTTAAGTAACTTGCCTAAAGGTTAAGTAACTTGCCTAAAGTCTGGCAGATAGAATGTGGGATAGTGAAGACTGAAACTCAGCCTACATTCAGGGGTCTTGCTCCTAACTAACACTTGCTCCTAACTAACACTGTATGCTGAACATGCACAAAAGTTTTTCCTATTTCCTATTCCTCACCTTAGTAAATGGCACTATCACTCACCAACACTGCTCAAAACAAAAAGCCTATATCTCATTCTAAATTCTTCTCTCTGCCTCATCCCCTCCTATTTAATCAGTCATCAGGTCTTACATACACTAGCAGCTAAATTTCTCTCAGTTGTCCCCTGTATATATAGGCTGCCCCTTTCTTAATTTAGGCTTGCAGCTTTTCTTCCTTGAATTATTGCAGCAGCTCTACTCTAGACCTTCAACTTTGTGTTGCAGCCAGAGTAATTCCTTTAAGTGAAAACACCTGATCATTTACTTTCCTATTTTTAAGAAGTAATATTTCCCACAATATTGAGTGTAAACCTCTTAGCATGGTTTTCAAAGCCCTTCATGTGCAGGCAATTGTCTTTTTCCAGTCTCATTTCCTGGCACTCTCCACATATGGCCTACATGCTAATAAGACTGAAGTGCTTGATGTCCAAAGGTAACAGCAATTTCATGCAACATCCTTTGTGTGGCATACACCACCACCTGCTTTGTCTATCTGGCAAAAGTGTATGCTTTCATATCCTTCATGAAAGCTTCTTCCTTGATCTCTTTAGTCTGCCTTTTCTGCTGCCATAGAACTTTGTACAACATAACCCAACTGTACCACTTATTTCCATGGAAATGGAACAGATACACTACATTGAGTAACTTAAGATCAGAGATAATATCCTATTCTTTATTTTCCCAGAACTTAGCCGAATAAGCACAGGATTCAAGAAGCTAGGCTCATAGAAAACTTAAATCTTAAATTCTTTACAATCAGATTTTATAGGACTCAATTATTGTAAATTTTAAAATGAAATATTATATGCATCTTTTATATTACTTTTCTAAATCAAGTGTTATGTTTGGGCCAGTAGTCCATTTTTGCTGAATAACACCCTACTGACTCTTAAAAAATCTAAGTCCTAACTGTGGAAATAGACAGAAGTCAACATATTTAACACCAACAAAGAAGTAAACCTGAGTTTCTCACCAAAAATATCAAAGACATGGTTCTGTCTTAGCATCTTTCTCATCCTACTTTTAAGGGTAATAATAGCACTCTCCTTTCCTTTGGGAAACTCCCCTTTGACTCCTGGTGGCTCATGGGGAGCTGATAATGAGGATATACAAGTGAGTAGCCATGTGTCAGTAAGAACGCCATTCACATCACATCACAGGGAAAGGAATTGGTTCAGAAATGAACTGGTGACCTAAGTCAGGAAAATCAGAGTTCATCCTAGGAGGTTTTTTTGTTTTCCTGGCAGAACTGGTTGGAAAAAAAAAACCCATTGCTTCTGGGATTATAGTATGGGGAAACGGTCATGTTTGCTGCTTCTGCTGTCACACATTTTTCCCTGGTTATATGGAGAAAGCCTATCTGGGAATCAGGGGATGAAAAATAATAAGAGAAACACAAAAGGGGGTGGGTAAGAGAAAGCAGGAAAAGAGGGGAGGAAAAAGAAAAAAAGGAAATGGAGATAAAGAAAAAGAGACAAAGAGGAGAAAAAAATCTGATGATAACATTTGAGCCTATATGCCAAGCTGGGCACATAGGCAGCTTTACTTCTGGACAATCCAGGTAGAAAAGCCATAAATTGTCACCCTTGCTTGCTTTGACTTAGATTTCTAAGAGTTCCAACTGAGTGACTCCTGACTAATCAAGAGATGCATCTACATTTTTTACATTGCTCCCTTTCCAAGAAAGTACAAAATCCATTTAATGACATTAATGGTATTTTTGCATGTACTAGAATTTTTAAATTCTCCTTAAGTTTTTAATCAAATTACAGAAGTTATTAAACTTATCCAACGTGACAGTCAGTAAAAGGACATAAAAGCATCTTAGGACAGTTAGGAATAGCATGCAATTATGATCTCAGTGAAAAACGACAGACCTTCATCTTCAATAGCACTTTCTCTGACACATAAAAGATCCTACCTGGTACAAAAAAGATCCAAGACAAAAGAAACATCTACTAAACTATCTGACATTCTGTTAATGTCTATTTTTTCTCCCAATGTCTGTATTATTACTCAAGCTTATGATGTCTGGCAGGATCAATATCTACAGTGATATGATAGCAAATGGTTTATTTATTTATAATGACAAATTTCACTTAAATGTATTATTCCCCAGTTATTATTAGCCATTAGAAAAGTACAAATTAAAACCACAATGAGAAATCACTACAATCAGATGGCTAAAATAAAAATACAAATAATACATAAAAATATAAGTGGCTAAAATAAAAATAAAAAACAGTGACAACACCAAATGCTGGTTAGTATGTGGAGAAACTAGACTATATCGAATTGCTCATGGCTGTGTTAAATGGTACAGTCACTCTAGAAAACGGTTTGGTAGTGTCTTAAACACCTAAGCATGCAGTTGCAATATGACCCAGCAAATGCATTCCTGGACATTTATTAAACAGAATGAAAACTTATATTCACACAAAAATCTGCATACCAGGTTTATAACAGCTTTATCTGTGTTATGGAAAGAACTATGCCCTTCAACATTTGTATGCTGAAGCCCTTACCCCTCAATGTGACTGTTTTAAAGACAGGACTTTTAGGGAGGTAATTACGGTTAAATGAAGTCATGAGGGTGGAGTCCTAACCTGATAGGGCTGGTGAACCTGAAAAAAGAGGAAGAAACACCAGAGGTCTCTCTTCATACACACATAGAGAAGAGGCTATGTGCAAACACAGGAAGAAGGCAGAAGTAACTACCTGCAAGCCAGGAAGAAATCCTCACCAGAAACAAAATCTGCTAGCACCACCTGATCTGTGACTTTCAGCCTCCAGAGCTGTGAGAAAAGCAGTTTCTGCTCTTTAAGCCACCTGGTCTGTGGTCTTTTGTTATGGCAGACGAATATAGTTTCACCAAAAACTATCAATAAAATAAATGTCCTTCAGTAGGTGAATAGTTTAAAACAAAAACAAAAACAAAACTGTGGTCATCTACATCACGTGTGGTAGGCAGAATAATGATGCCCCCCAAAAATCTCCACATCCTAATCCTCAGGTCTGTGAATATATTAGATTACATAAGATATGCACATTAAGGTGGCAGAGGGAATTAACCTACTCAGAAAAACTCTTTTACTCCAAGAATCCAAATAAAAATGGAACAAAGTACTTATTTAGAAATAAGTATGATAGAAAAGTTTAAAAGCCTGTTTCATTCATTATTAATTTAAATAAATGTCAATGATGTTTTTTTAAAAATGTAAAGATTTAGACCGGGTGCGGTGGCTCATGCCTGTAATCTCAGCACTTTGGGAGGCCGAGGCGGGTGGATCACTTGATGTCAGGAGTTCAAGACCAGCCTGGCCAACATGGCAAAACCCTGTCTCTACCAAAAATACAAAAATTAGCTGGGCACAGTGGTGCATGCCTGTAATCCCAGCTACTTGGGAGGCTGAGGCAGGAGAATTGCTTGAACCCTTGAACCCAGGAGGCAGAGGTTGCGGTGAGCCGAGAGTTCACACCATTGCATTCCAGCCTGGGCAACAAGAGTGAAACTCGTTCTCAAAAAAAAAAAAAAAATGAAAAAAAAAAAAAACTTAAAATTAAATATTTAATACATAAAATAAAACTTAATAAATCTTAATGATGATATTGCTTATAATGATTGATAAGGTTTATAACAATTGTATTATAATTGTTTAGTTTTATTGGCTGTCAGTCCTGGCTGTATTGTAGAATCACCCATAGAGCTTCAAAAAATCATTCCCAAAATATTGATACGTGGACCTCTTCGAAGAGATTAGGACTTAAATAGTAGCGAGGCACTTGGATTATAAAAATGTTCTATGAGTACTTCTGATATACAAGATATAACTAGAATTTTATTCTACTCTAAGAACTTATTGTAAAAGACAACTTAAAACTATAAGTTATTTCAGAATAAAGGCATAAAATGGAATAGTATGTAGTGATAAACTGATGCTGCAGAAATATGTTTACTGACACAGAAAGACACATGTAACTATATATACACACACAAAACAGTGTGTATGATGTAATTCCATTTTGTAAAAGAAAATACATATGGACACATACATATAGAATGAAGTTCATTTTGGTTGGCTGTGAGTATTCTTTATGATGCTTTATGCTGCTGTTTTTGCTTGCCTGTATTATTTGTTATTTCTGAATGATTCTATAGAACATACATGAAAAACCACAGCAACTTAATTTTGATATGGAAAAGATTAACTTTCAATAATATGAATACTTTAACCTAAACTAAGGAATATTATATTTTGAAATAGAGCAAATGTGCCAAAATTTTAACAAATGGTGAATCCAAGCAAAGGATATAAAGATAGTAATATTCATGCCAATTTTCCACAGGCAAACATTATTCAAAATTTAAAAATTTAGAAAAAATAAATTCTTAAAACTACTTTAGAATTTGCCACCCCCTCAATGTATTCTATTTTATTATAGGTTGATCATTTGATATAATCAAATACAATAAATAAATCCTTTAACATTTTATTTAAATCAGTTTGCATAAGTTAAACCAAAATCTTAGCTGAAAAAAAACATGAAACATAGAAATATATGCACAAAAATACACACATTTGTTTAATGTATGAAGAAATATAGTGTATATATTTTTTAAACTCTCCTACTGTAATTCTCTAGTAACCAACTATATATGTCTGTACTGTATTTGCCAACTAATAATGTTTTAAAACAATTTTTCCAGTATAAATTCATTCATACCGCATACCAAGCCTCAAAACTATCAACTCTATAAAAGGCTCATCTCACCTCATCTAAGTCTTGGATATAAACTGGCTTTTCCTCAAAGCTGAGTGGCATTGGTTCGCTGTAGGGAATCCTTACTTCTTCATAAAGCTTGTTATTCTCTCTTTGGATTCCTTCTGGCAAAATCATCTATAAACATCAACAATAAAAATCCAATAATAATAAAAAATAAAACACTTGCTCTGGTAAATATTCTTTAGAGAGAGACAGAAAACACTACTGGTTTTATAACAAAGCACTGGTAAATAAACTTAGCTAATTTAAAAGAAAACAAACTTAAATAAAACAAAAACAAATGCAAAAAACCACTCACACAAAGCATTAACATATCAGGTATTTTATATAACACACAGGCCACAGTATGTTGACAAATCTTAAAGTATACACTAATTAGATGGTATACCTGAATACAAATGTATTCATATAATTAGGAAAATGTACAGCATACAGTATAAAGTTTAGCCTAGCAGCAATGCAACTGATAAAACTCAAAAATACAAATTGCAAAAACAATGAAAAGGAGGGAAACATATATGTTCTGAATATCTACTATATGTCAGGAGCTTTACATACACCACATTATGTCATTTTCCCCAATACTTTAAAATAAAATTTAGCATAGTCAACTAGTGTTAGACTCACGAAGGAACAGGGAAAATCCACACATCATTTCTTTAGAATAGACATATTATTGAACAGTAGTTATATAACAATGACATACCTTTGCACCAGCAATAAATGCTGATGTTTTCATGGCTTCAGCCTGGGAATCATACACATGGGGATAATGTATTTTTTCAACGTCTGCATCTCTCTGCCTGCTCAGAATTGGAACACTTCTAGCATTCAGAAGTGCCTGTTCTCTGTAAACATAAAAATAGGCCTAATTTGAAATGTTTATCTTGAAAGGTAATGCATACACCAAAACAAGGCAATTATAAAAGATATTGGGAGCTAGCCTTCCACCATAAAAAAGAAATTAAACTACACAAAGGAAGATTTTAGGAATCCTGAAATTTTCTGAGTGACAAAATAGGATTCAGTACATTTTTAGATATTATTTATAGATAACACCACTTGGTAAGTTTGATTTAATGTTCTTTCCAATTTTGCTTTTTCACAATTCAAATGTTTACTTATTAAGGTATACATTTCTTTTTTGAAATGTGTTTCAATCTTTAAAGAATCAAGTGCAATAATGCTTATATTTCATTTTTCTCCTTTCTACTTCTAAATAACAACAATTTTTAAAAGGTACATTGAGCACAGAAATAAAATGTATCTCAAATAAATTTATGTAAGCTATATAAATCTTAACCTAGTGGTGTGTACACAGCACCTAAAAATAGCTTAGCTCTATAATCTAAATCTCTTATCTACCTGGATGCGACCAAGAATATTCTAATTAAGCAGACAGACCATTGCTTTCTTATCCCAGAAAATTAGGTATTCATAAAACAAACTTCTATGAAGAAAACGTGACTTGAAGTAAAAATCATCTATACTGCTAAGACTAAACTAAAAAGTGATAATGATATGTAAAAGCAGCAATTACAACACAAGCATTTTTCAGCTCCTGGCTTTTATTACCTTTGTATCCGCAATTCCTTAGGATCAAAGCACATAAGTCCTTCTGAAACTTCTAAATCTTCTCCAGCCTTTTTTTCTCGTCTGGCAATTCTTTTTTCTTCACGTCGATATTGTTTCATTAACTGCTTTTCTTGTTCAGACTGAATAGTGACTTGACAACCATAATTGGGTTTAGCATTTTCTCCTAAAATTTTTTTACAATTGTCTAAGAAGCAAATTTAAGAAACACAATGTTTTATAAATCTGAATATGATTTAACCTTCATGAAAACCATTTCTTTCCTCCACCCCACAACATATAATGCTCTTACAATTCATTTTTTAAAGCTGGCAAATTCAATTATATGTTTTAAGGTGAGTTTTTAAAAATCACAGTATCTAAATAAAATTACACGGTGGTTTAAGAAAAGTCAGCAGTATTTTCTTCCTACAGACTAAACAGTTCAATGTCACTGACATTATAAATTCTTACATATAACATTAGGAACCTAAAAATTCAATTTTATCATTTGAAATAATTTGTTTATATAATTTTAATAAATATAATAATTATCGATAATAATTAGCATTTACTGTTAATATAGTAATGAAATAAACTCTTTCCCTATTAGACATAAATTTTTACTATGTAATAGACCTTATGCGGTTAAGTTGCACATATGTTACTACTTAGTTATTTATAGATTACATAAAATTTATTAGCAGTAGTTCAAGACATATTTGAGACAATAACTAAAGCAAATAAAGCAAAAGTATGGTCCACCTTTTTACGGAAACACAGTTTTTTAAAAAATGGAAAAACCAAGTGAATTAAATCTCAATGTTTACTAAGTACACTTTAGGTCTGTGGTTTGGTCAACTCAATATTGAGAAAAAAATGTTCTTCCAACAGGATTACCTTCTGTGTTTGTTTAAATCTTTACAAGCAACAGTATCTTCACTTACTGAAACTCTAAAGAAACTAGAAGGAATGTAGTTGAAAGTAATCCAAGTCAATAAACATTTACTGTATTGAGGTCCTACTCAGTTCTAGCCACTGCAGCTAGGCTAGGAGGACAATGAAGAATGAGATTTGGTCCATACTCTGACAAAGCACAGTGCAAATTATTTTATCAAATTCCAATATCCAATGCAGAAGAGAGAAGGAATTAAAAATAGCATCAAGATGGGAAAATTAGCTTTCTAATTCATTCTAAGTCAAATCTTCACAATTCTCAGACAGTTGTTACTGCCCCATTACATAATTCTGAATACAAGTCATTAAACTCTCAATCATAGGGAAAACTTGTATAATGGCTTTATAAGGCCTAAAAAGGAAAATACGTCTCAAAATTATGAAATAAAATAAAATCCCATCTATATTAGGACTAAATTTTACAGTTCTGAAAAAAGCATTTTCCTAAGTATTTTATCTCTTATTTTCCAATTAAGTCTTACATACCTACTATAATAACAGAATTTATAATTAGTGTTCAGTATTAGAAAAAGAATGCAACATTCTGCCAGTTTTCACATGTACTCTGAACTCTTCATAAAAGTTAACTTGTCTGCAAAATTACACAATCAGCAACACAGATATTAAGCAGAATGTTTAAAAATGTATTTATCAGAAATGAATGTTAAAGATTTTAAGCGTAAAACTGTAAATATTTTAGGTGACATACTAGATGCTATGCTAAAGTCATTAACATTTTAAGCAAATGTGACAGTAATAAAATATTATACATACTTATGATCATCCAAATAAAATTAAAATTATAAGAAGAAAATATGTCTACCTCATAGAAAGCTTAAAAGGTCTAATTAGAACATACTGGAATCCTGTAAGGCTGAGTATAACAGGCAATTTCAAAAAATCAAGTTGTAAAGCAGTGAATGTTTAAATGTATGGTTCTCCTTGCTGGGTTAGGTTAACTGTAGAAACTGACATGCAAAAATGAAATGAATATCCTTAACAGTAATTCTAACACAAAGTTATTCTGAAGAACTATGTAGAGGCTTGTATCCTTTTAGAACGGTCGTTTAAAAGTGTGTAGAGCCTCCCCCTTGCTCTCATGCTCCTGCTCCTGATGTGTAAGATGCCTGCTCCCCTTTTGCCTTCTGCCATGATTGGAAGCTTCCTAAGGATTCCCCAGAAGCAAAAGCTGCTAATGCTTCATGTACATCCTGCAGAACTGTGAGCCAATTAAACCTCTTTTCTTTATAAATTACCCAGTCTCAGGTATTTCTTTATAGCAATGTGAGAATACACTGATACAAAAAGCTTATTGATTCTAAGAAGCTATCCTAATATTATAAAATTTATGGAATCAACATAATAAACATAAACAAAACTCATCTACAGTTTCCAAAAAATATGTAAAGCTAGATTTGTATTAAACTTTATTTTAATAGATTACCACTATTAAAAGCAGAATCAGGCTGGGCACTGTGGCTCACACCTGTAATCTAAACACTTTGGGGGGCTGAGGTGGGAGGACTGCTTGAGGCTAGTAGTTCAAGACTACCCTGGGCAACATGGGGAGATCTCATCTTTATAAAAAAAAAATTTTTTTTTTAATTAACCAGGCATGGTGGCACACACCTGTGGACCCATCTACTCGGGAGGCTGAGATGAGAGGATTGCTTGAGCACAGAAAGTTGAGGCTGCAGTGATCCCTGATTGTGCCACTGCTCCCTAGCCTGAGCAAGAGTGTGAGGGCGTGTCTTAAAAACAAAAGCTAGAATCAGTAAATATCTCTTTATTAATATTTAGGAGACTGACAAAATGAAATATCAAATTCTCAGAATTTACAACATTGCAGGACTAGATGTTTAAACTCATTTTTTTTCCTTAGCAGACACCCATTTTAGATACTCATAAACCTTGCTGGCTTAGTGCAATTTCTGATTATATACTATTCAACAGGTGTAATATGGTTAGGCTTTATGTCCCCATACAAATTTCATGTTGAATTGTAATCCCCATAATCCCCAGGTGTTGAGGGAGGAAACTTGTGGGAGGTGACTGGATCACAGGGGCTGTTTCCCCCATACTGTTCTAGTGATAGTGATTGAGTTCTCAGGAGGTCTGATAGTTTTATAAGTGTTTGGCAAGTTCCTCCTGCACATATTTCTCTCTCCTGCCACCATGTGAAGTAGGTCCTTGCTTCCCCTTCACCTTCTGCCAAGTTGCCTGAGGCCTCCAGCCATGTGGAACTGTGAGCCAATTGAACCTCCTTTGTTTATAAATTACCCAGTCTCAGGTAGTATTTTTATAGCAGTGTGAGAACTGACTAATACAAGGTGGGAGCGCTCTTGGAGGAAGGCAGAGTAGAAGTGTTCAATACACTCAAAGAACAAACAGACCTGCAGACAAAATTGCTAAATTTATATTTTCCAAGTTTCTTACAATCTCAAAGGAACTTTAAGGCTCTGAGAACATGTATTAGTAATCAAGAGAATCTGTAAGAAACAGAAAATCTGTCAGAAATTTTAGATTTAAATTATAGCTGTTTTTATCATTTCCTTTTAGTGTCATAATCATAAATGTAAGAAAATGAGGACGTAACTTACAAGAAGGATAGATGTTGAATAGTTTGAAGACAGTTGCCAAATTTCTTACGCTCATATACTTTTTTAAAATCCAAAACTATTTGTAAGGCTGGCAAAAAACAGTGTGGTAAAGGTAAAAAAAAATTGTTTTCCTATTTACCACTTAAAACCTGAGTTTCGCATCAGCTATGTTTTAAGTCAAGCTTTTATAAAAATAAGTTTTGTTCCCTAGCCAACTCTTAATTTTTCCGGGATTTAAAATATGTGTAATACATGACACTATCAGTGTTCAATTTGCTCAGTGTGATAATTGTATTGTGCTTAGACATGTGCTAAAGATTTTACAGGTAAAGAATCATGATGTCTAGAACTTCCTGTCATTGTTCAGCAAAAATTTAAAAAGTAGGTGTGTGGGTAACGGGTCTAGGAAGAGCAAAATGTTAATGACTAATGAATCTATGTGAAGGGTAAACAGTGATCATTGTATTATTCTTGTAACTTTAAGTTTGAAAGTTGTCAAAATAAAAAGTTGGAGAGAAATTACACTACTACCTGGCCCATAGTAAGTATATATATTTTTTCTTTTTAAAGAAAATTTGCTATGCAGAAGCTCTTCAGTTTAATTAGGTCCCACTTGTCAACAGAGTAAACAGACAACCTACAGAACAAGAGAAAATAACTGTATCTGACAAAGACCTAATATCCAGAATCTATAAGGAACCTAAATCAACAAGCAAAAAACAAATAACCACATTAAAAAATGGGCAAAGGACATTAACAGACACTTCTCAATAAAAGACATACAAGCAGCCAACAAATGCTCATCATCACTAATCATCAGAGAAACACAAATCAAAACCACAATGAGATACCACTTCACACCAGCCAGAATGGCTACTGCTAAAAAGTCAAATAATAACAGATGTTGGCTCAGCCGCAGAAAACAGGGAACATTTATATACTGTTGGTGGGAACGTAAATTAGTCCAGCCACTATGAAAAGTAGTTTAGAGATTTCTCAAAGAGCTTAAGACAGAGTTACCATTTGACCCAGCAATCCTATCACTAGGTATATACCCCCTACAAAATCAATCATTCTACCAAAAAGACATATGGACTCACATGTTCATCACAGCACTATTCACAACAGGAAAGACACAGAATCAACCTAAGTGCCCATCAACAGTGGACTGGATAACAAAAATGCAGTACATATGTACCATGGAACACTACGTAGCCATAAAAAGAAGAAATTGTTCTGTTTCCTGAATTGAGTCCATAGTAATATTTTTCTTACAACTTACTACATAACAGCTGTCATTTTACAGTTAAAGAACCATTAGAATGTTTTAATTAATCATGACTATATGATGTCCTTTGCAACAATATGAATGCAGCTGGAGGCCATTATCCTAAGCGAATTAACGTAGAAAACCAAATACCTCGTGTTCTCACTTGTAAGTGAGAGCTAAACATTGGGTACACACAGACACAAAGATGGAAACAACAGACACTAGGGATTCCAAAAGGGGAGCGAGAGGGAGTAGGGAAAGGGCTAAAAAACTACCTGTCAAGAACTATGTTCATCACTTGGGTGACAGAATCCATATCCCAAACCTTGGCATCAAACAATATACTCATGCAACAAACCTGCACGTGTACCTCCTATATGCAAAATAAAAGAAGAAAGTTGTGTATTCTAAGTAGTTTTAACTTTTACCAAAAACTGCCATACCCAAACACTGCCCTCCTATTTAGATCACTTACGTTTTTTCATAATATGCCATATCTAAAATCTATTTAACAGAGTAATATCAGTAAATTATATAACAGACCAAAACATATTTTAAAATGTAATTACATTAAAAACATTTGCTAACCAATGAATATTTCCTTTAAATTACAATGACCACTGCATACTTTCTTACCTTGAAGAGCCTGAAACCTATGATCATTTGAAGAATTAAGAAATCTATCCACAATTGTAATTCTGTTCTGGAGGAGTTTCTCAATAAGTTCAAGTCCTTCAGGTCCCAGCAGTTCAAATAGCTTATAAAAAGAGAAAAAAGTAACAAACATCAGTTATCTCAAAGTTTAACTTTTTCAAGTTATTAACAACCTATTCAACAGAGGTGTAAAGCCAAACTAATATAGAAATACTCAAAAAATTTAATAAAAATGGTACCTTAAACTAAGAAAAATGACTCTTCACATTGCCAAGAAGCTTTATAAAGGCTTTCTGCAATTACATAATTAAAAAACATTATTCAATTTTTAAAAATTACGATTTGAATATATAACTCCAAATCACAGAATAACAAATTCTTGGTATAACCAAATGAAATTCTAAAATAATTTAATTTGCTCTTCAACATATCATTCTGGTTTTCCCAAATAGAGTCCAGAGTACTATTTTTCTTACAACTACTATACAACAGTGTAATTTTTAGCGTTAAAGAACCATTAGAATGTTTTAATGAATCATGACTTCGTGCCAATTTTTTACATGTATTTTAAATGCTAAATAAGTCTGAAATCTAAAACAAAGTGCTGCAAGTGCTTTACATAACTTTATGAAAATTTCCGAAGCATATCCCACTCTCCTATGCAGAGTAGTTACCAAAGATTAAGTTGATGTCAGAGTTAGAGAACCAGTGTTAGGATTCAGAGTTTCAACCACATAATTGCACAATATAACTATTCTAGGAAGTCTCTAGGTTTCCGCGAGTATGATCTGGGAAGATACATGTATATATTTCTTGTTTAGAAATATAATGCTCTAATTTTGCATATGAAGATGTCATATTAACCAAATTCTAACCATTCTCAGAGAATCCACACAAATAAAACCATAAAATAAAAATTTACTTTGTGTATATGGACATTAAAAGTTTAATAAATATTTTCTTTTTGCTGTTCATTTTACTGAAGTTATGCACACAAAGGGACAACAAAAGAAACAAAATGAATTATTAAGAATAGTCCTGTCCAATCAATTTTAATTCTATTGGCCAGTACTTTTTATTGAACACATTATATGCCAGGTACTATGATAGGCATTTTGCTAATCCTATCAAGCAAATCCTCCTAATACTACTTTCAAATTAAGGTATTATTATTGTTATTTTTGGACTTAAGAAAATAAAGCTTTAGAAAATTTACACAAATTGGCCAAAGTTACAACTAATAGTAGTGTTTTCTAAAATGACATCTATCTGAATCCAAGCCTAAAGAACTCTCCACTGCACTATATTAACACTGTTGAATATTTTCCAGAAAACTGTGACCCTGAAATGAATATGCAATATATTGTAATAAAAAAGATACCAAATTCGGTAATATAAAAGACATTAATTGAAGTTAAGAAACTTGTACAGGGAAACAGCAGAGGAAGCAGTAAAGAAGCAAGATAACAGGAAAATGGTCAAGAAATATGAAAGTAAATATATAACTTGTGACACCCACCCTCCCTCCCCTCAAAAAAAAGATATTAATAATATGTGGCAGAAAGGGTTTAGGACAGACAAGGATAAAGGATGCTGGTAGACAAGACATAATGTCTGTGTTCCCTTACCCTCCATACTTCCGCAAAGAATTATCCATCAACAAAGTATGACATATGGAGTCCTAGAAGTCCCGGACACTTAGGGGGCCCACATGGTCAAAATTATTTTCATGATAATACTTAGCTATTATTTGCCTTTCTCATTCTGGTGACATTTGTACTGATGGTGCAAAAGCAATGGTGGGTAAAACTGCTGGTGCCTTAGCATAAATCAAGCTAATAGTGTCAAATAAATTAGTAATGATTGTATTCTTCACTGTCATACAAGCACAAATACAAACAACAACAACACAAAGCCAACTTCACTTAAGAATGTCCGTAAGTAATGCAATAAAAATTATCAGTTTTGTAAATTTCATATCATGAGTATGTATCTTTTTTAATATTCTGTGTGACAAAAGGGGAAGTATGTATAAAATTACTCCTACTATATATAGAATAAATGTTATGTATAAAAGTATTTTGTAAAAATTTTATAAAAGTATGTATAAAATTGCTAGTGAAGAGGCTTTCTATGTAACATCATTTTGATTTGAAATAAAGGCTAAAAACAAATTGATTATTCAGATTAGGGTATCTGACAAACATTTTCTCAAAAATGAAAGTGAGCCTCCTACACAAAGGAAAACAACTGAATGTATTTGTTGCCAATGCTAAAATGCAAGGTTTCAAGAGAAAATTAGAATTTTGAAAAACTGTATCCACCACTGTAAATTTGACCATTTCCCAATACTTAAGACTTTTCTGATGATACCAGTGATAATATTAATGAATGAATTCTTTTTCTATTATATAATCAAATGCGTCAACATTCAGAAGATTTGCATAACTCACTCAATCAATTATTTTCCAAAAGACTCATATATGATGTTATAAAATTATACATGGGTAAAAAAATCCATTAAAAATGAGACCAATAGATTTTCACAAAACCTAGCATAAAAATTCATTGATATGCCAGATTTTCATTGTAACTAAACTGCAAGAAACTACTGCTTGTCAAGTTTTAATTTAGTATCAAAAAAGAATATTAAAAATTATTTGAAAACGCTTTTAAAATATTATTCTCTTTTCTAACTGTGTATCTATGTGAGCCTGGATTCCCTTTGTAGGCTTAAACCAAAAATATATATCATAGCAGATTGATTACAGAAGCAGGTATGAGAATCTGCTTTCTATTAAACCAGATATTAAAAAGATTGCAAAAATGTAAAATAATGATACTTTTCTTTCTATATTTTACAGTTTTGGAAAATATAGTTAATTTTCATCAAACTGCTAACTTCTATTATTATTGTTATTTTAAAATGAATAAATATATGTAATCATGTGTCACTTAACAACACATATCCTGAGAAATGCACCACTAGGTGATTTTGTGGGAACATCATAGAGTGTAATTACACAAACCTAGATGAGGCAGTATACTACACAGCTAGACTATATGGTGTAGCCTATTTATCTTAGGCTACCAACCTGTACACCATGCTACTATACTGAATACTGGAGTCCACTGACATGCAATGGTAAGTATTGGTGTATCTAACCATATGTAAACACGGACAAGATACAGTAAAAACTACTGTACAAAAGATAAAAAATGGTATAACTGTATACTTGAAAGAGCACTTACTATGAACGGAGCCTGCAGGATTGGAAATTACTCTAGTTGAGTCAGTGAGTGAGTAATGAGTGAATGTGAAGGCCTAGGATGTTAATGTACTACCGTAGACTTTATAAACACTATTCACTTTGGCTACACTACATTTATTTTTTCAAAAAAAAAAATAGTATTCACTAGTAAGTTGGCCTTAGCTTACTGTAACTTTTTACTTCATAAACTTTACATTTAACTGTTTGACTCTTTTATAACAATACCTAGCTTAAAACACAAACACACTGTACAGCTGTACAAAAATATTGTCTGTCTTTAGAACCTTATTCTATAAGCTTTTTTCTATTTTTAAAATTTTTATTTTTTCAACTTGTTAATTAAAACTTCACACAAAAAAACACATTAGCTTAGGCCTACATAAAGTCAGGATCATCAAGATGTCACTGGTGATAGAAATTTTTCAGTTCTATTATAATCTTACAGCATCACTGTTGTATATAGTCCGTCACTGACCAAAACATCCTTATGCAGCACATGACTGTACTTGAAGAGTTTCTCAGTTTTAGTTTCTGGTATAGTGAATACCAATAGACATAAACCACATAAACAAAATCTTGTAGAGTACTCAATAACTTTTAAGAGCATAAAGAGGTTCTGAGATCATAAATTTTGATAACTGATGGCCAAGATTACTATAAAACATTTTTAAATGGTCACACTCTACTTACTTTATACCCACATTTCTATAGCTTTTTCATGCCATAGCACATTTGGAAAGTCATAATATTTGTAAAGTATATGAAGTAAATGGATGAGGCTACTCTGAACAAAAAAGACTAATTAAAAGCCCAAGTGATCCTTGGCCCAGACAACTTCCTTGAGAGTTAGTTAATAAGAATAGTATCCCAGCCCACCTACAACCCATTATGTCATATGCCCTGGTACACCAGAAGGAAACCTCTACTATACTAACACGCAAATCTGTTCACATAATACCATGGTTTAAAATCCTTCATAGTATCCTGATCCTTACAAGATAAAATCCAAACTTCTAAGTACGCCCACATGATTGATACCTTCTATTGCTGGTCCCAATAAGCCAGTCTGGCATCACATTCTTGCTTTCCCCAACTCATAAGTCCTTATCATTGAATGACACCAATCCATCTGCTACTCTGAAGGCATGCTCTTTCACATGTCCATGTGTCTCTACATGCTGGTCTTACTAGGCAGAATGACCTTTCTAATCTCCTCAGCACAGTAACCTCTCCTTTCAGCCTTCAAAATCTAGCTCAAATAATAACTCTTCTCCACGGCTTTCTCTATCTTTACTATGTTTTATGGCAGTTAAACAGCATACAAAGATTTCTCATTACTCTATGTCCTCCTTCAAGGAAACTTTACTCTTTGTTTCTCCAAGAGTTAAAATAGTGCAAGACAAATGGCAAGTGCTAATTAATTAAGATGTATCAAAGACATGTTGTATTCGTAACAGTATTTTCTTTCAAATTTTTAACCCTTAAATAAGTGTCATATTTTTTCAAAGGGAATCATTAGAAGCATATGTTTTGTTTACTAGATTAAACTCTTTCTAAATAAAAGTAAATATTGTCTATATACAAAATCTCAAAACAGAAAGAATCCTAAGTAGGTTGCTTTTGACAACATAAAAAAGTCTTTTGGCAAACTCCAACCAACACAGGATGAAGATTAAGTTTTTGATCTTGTGTTGTTGTTGCTGTTTAATCTCCTTCAATTGCTAGTAGTTGCAAACACTTTAAGGCCCTCCTACAACCTCAAAAATGGTTAACATAACAAGTATAAGAGATGACACTAAATCTACATTAAGATTCCTAAAAAGCTGATAAGAAGTATTGACAGATCTGTGAAAAAATAAAAGCAAGTAAATAGTCTAGACAAAATAATAAACACAAGATCCACGTTTAATCCTCCTTTCTTATATCCTTCAGGCATGTGTAAAAGTACTGAAGATGTGGCCGGGCGGGGTGGCAAGAGGAGGATTTTTGTCCATGTTTACCCCCCGCCCATACTAAAGTCACCTAGAAACAGTGTCCAACAACGTAAATATTTCTGGAGTTGAATCAAAAAATCACATAAGTGATGACCACAATGGAAATGAATGATAGGCCCATTTGTCCAACTCCAGTTTTTCCACAATCTTGCACAGTCCTGCTCTTACAAGTATTAACTCTGTATTTAAAATAACATATATTAATTTTTATAAATGTTAACATTAAAGTGCTAAATTATAGCTCCGATAAGATCAAATATAGAAAAAAAACACAACTAAAGTTATCACCTCCTTTCTCAAATCTTTCTCCCTTCATCACCAATTCTGTTAATAATACAACAATCCCTCAGTGAAATTCAAGTTCAAAATATTCTGATCAGAATTTATTCTTTATTCTAGTTACACTTAATATCAAATCATACTATAAGTGAAGTGATTGTTCTTATCAGAAAAGTAGAGAAACTTAAAAATATACAAAGGACAGTTTATAGAATGAAATTACAAATAGTCCTTACATATATCAAAACACAGTAAAAAACACTCTTTTGTCTTTAACAAGAGAAAGAAAAAACCTCGATATAAAAAAAAACCTTAAAATTACATTGATTTCTGTTAACCTTTCATATTGCCAAAAATTCAAACATTCAACAGGGCAAAAATTTGAAGCCTAAGTACTCTATGAAAAACATCTAAGATTGTGGTGAACAACAACTAGAAAAAAGAGTCATAGATTGAAGGACTAGGTTGTATAGGAGGAGAGAACTGAGTAAAGAGACAACAGAGAGGAGCCCATTGGGTTCAGGATAAATGTCAACACTGACCTCTAAAATCATTCTTTCAAAGGGGCCACAGAGTTATTGGATTAGTTTGTAGAGAAATTTATGTCCCCACAAAATGTTGCAAACGAGACAGTAATAAGCTTGAGATTGATAGTTTCAAAGCTAGTTATAATCAGTAAAAGGAGAAAGAGCCCTGCCAAAACCATACCAGGGTAACTGTGGACATACCCAAAGATGCATCTCCGTAACAAACAACATCAGAAGCTTAATACTGTGAAGTGAGAGGGGATGAAATCATCTCCACTAAAATAATTTAGCAAAGTGATTTAAAAAGAAAAATAAGCAAGCAGGCAACAATAACTAGCCCCAGTGGAAACATGGGACAAATATCCAGCGTATCCACAATATATTAACTAAAATGTTCATTTTCTAATGAAAAATTATAAGGCATGTAAAGAAATGGAGAAGTATGATCCATATACTAGAGGGAAAAAAGCAAGCAACAGAAATTGCCTGTGAAGGTAACCACATGTCAAATATAATAGAAAAATACTTCAAAGTAGGCATTGTAAATATGTTCAAAGAACTAAAGAGAACCGTGATTAAAGAATTAAACAATGACCAAAGAAATAAACACAAGTCCAAATGAAATAGGAAACTGAGATAGCACTTTAAAAAAAAAAAGAAAATTATGAAATTATACACTACAGTAACTGCAATTAAATATTAACTAGAAGGATTCAATAGTAGAGTCAAACTGTCAGAAGAAATAATCAGCAAACTGGAAGACAGATGGATATTATGACATTTGAAGAACAAAAACAAGGCCAGGAATGGCGGCTCCTACCTGTGATCCCATCACTTTGAGAAGCTGAGGAGGGAGGATTGCTTGAGGCCAGTAGTTAGAGACCAGCCTGGGCAACATAGCAAGACTCCGTCTCTCCAAAAAATAAAAGAATTAGCCAGGTGTGGTGGTGCATGCCTGTAGTCTCAGCTACTCGGAAAGCTGAGGTGTGAGGAATCCTTGAACCCAGGAGTTCAAGGCTGCCATGAGCTATGATCACACCACTGCTCTCCAGCCTGGGCAAGAGAGCAACACTCTGTCTCAAAATTGAATGGATGGATGGATGGATGGACAGACAGATAGAAAGACAGATAGATGAAGAAAAAAATGAAGAAAAATTAAGAGAATCAGAAAAAGGTGAAACACCATTAAGTGCACCAACATACACATAATAAGCATACCCAAAGGAAAGAAAAGAGCAAAAAAATTTTGAAAAAACAATAGTTTAAATCTTCTGAAATTTATTGAAAAACACACATCCAGGAAGCTTAACAAATTCCAAGTATGGGCCAGGTGCGGTGGCTCATGCCTGTAATCCCAGCACTTTGGGAGGCCGAAGCGGGAGGACTACCTGAGTTCAGCAGTTCAAGACAGGCCTGACCAATATGCAGAATGCCTGTCTCTACTAAAAATACAAAAAATTTAGCTGGGCTTGGTGGCGCATGCTTATAATCCACCACATGGGAGGCTGAGGCAGGAAAAGCACTTGAACCTGGGGAGGCAGAGGTTGCAGTGAGCTGAGGTTGTGCCATTGCACTCCAGCCTGGGCAACAAGAGTGAAACTCCATCTCAAAAAACAACAACAACAAAAAAAAAACACAAAAAACCTAAGAGATTTTGTTGATAGCTGACTTACCTTACAAGACACCTTAAAGGAAGTTTTTCAGGCTGAAAGCAAGTAACTTCAGATGATAATTCAAATTCACAAATTACTTTACCCATTATACAGGGCGTCTGTGTTTGTGTGTGCGTGTATGTGTGTTTGTGTATAAGCAAAGTACCAACATATACTAATTGAAACTGAAAAGGAATACAGAATGGAGAGATGAAAGATAAATAAATAATTCAACAATAACAGTCGGAGGGTGCAATATCACACTTTCAATACTGGATATAAAACCAAGCAGAAGATTACTAAGAAAATACAAGAATTTTTATCAGCTTAAGGAGCTTTGGGGCCACAACTATGGGGTTTTCTGGATATAAAATCGTGTTGTCTGCAAACAGAGACAGACTGACTTCCTCTCTTCCTATTTTGATGCCTGATATTTCTTTCTCCTGACTGATTGCTCTGGGTAGGATGTCCAATACTAAGTTGAATAGGTGAGAGAGGACATCCTTGTCTTGTGCCACTTTTCAAGGGGAATGCTTCCAGATTTTGCCAATTCGGTATGATCTTGGCTGTGGATTTGTCATAGATGGCTCTTACTATTTTGAGGTATGTTCCTTCAATACCTAGTTTATAGAGGGTTTTTAACATTACAGGAGGTTAAATTTCATCAAAAGCCTTTTCTACATCTATTGAGGTAAGCATGTGGTTTTTGTCTTTAGTTCTGTTTTTGTGATGAATTACGTTTATTGATTTGCATATGCTGAACCAACCTTGCATCCCAGGGATAAAGCCTACTTGGTTATGATGGATACATTTTCTAATGTGTTGCTGGAATCAGTTTGCCAGTATTTTGTGGAGAATTTTTGCAATGTTTATCAAGGATATAGGCCTGAAGTTTTCTTTTTTGTTGTTGTTGTGTCTCAGCCAGGTTTTGGTATCAGGATGATGCTGGCCTCATAGAATTAGTTAGGGAGGAGTCCCTCCTCCCCATTTTCTTGGAATGGTTTCAATAGAAATGGTACCAGCTCTTCTTCATACCTCTGGTAGAATTCAGCTGTGAAACCATCCAGTCCTGAGCTTTTTTTAGTTGTATGATATTTATCACTGATTGAATTTCAAAGCTCATTATTGGTCTGTCTAGGGAATCAATGTCTTCCTGGTTCAGTCTTAGGAAGGTATATGTGTCCAGGAATTTATCCTTTTCTTCTAAATTTTCTAGTTTATGTGCACAGAGGTGTTTATAGTATTCTCTGATGGTTGTTTGTATTTCTGTGGGGTCAGTGGTGATATTCCCCTTATTCTTAATTGTGTTTATTTGGATTTTCTCTCTTTTCTTCTTCATTAGTCTAGCTAGCAGTCTATTTTATTAATTTTTTTTCAAAAAATCAACTGGAATTCTTGATCATTTGAATAGTTTTTCATGTCTCAATCTCCTTCAGTTCAGCTCTGATTTTGATTATTTGTAGTATTCTCCTAGTTTTGGGGGTTGGTTTACTCTTGGTTCTCTAGTTCTTTTAGTTGTGATGTTAGGTTGTTAAATTGAGATCTTTCTAACTTTTTGATCAGGAAAGTCTCAGGATACAAAATAAACATACAAAAATAACTAGCATTCCTATACACCAACAACAGTCAAGCCAAGAGACAAATCGGGAATGTAATCCCACTCATAATTGTCAGAAAAATAAAATATCTAGAAATACAGCTAATGAGGGAGGTAACAGATCTCTACAAAAGGAACTACAAAACACTGCTCAAATAAATCAGAGATAACACAAACAAATGGAAAAACATTCCATGCTCATGGATTGGAAGAATCAATATCGTTAAAATGGCCATACTGCCAAAACAATTTATAGATTCAATGCTATTCTTAGGAAAGTATGAATCACATTCTTCATAGAACTAAAAAAAAAAACTATTCTAAAATTCACATAGAACCAAAAAAGAGCTCAGATAGCTAAGGCAATCCTATGCAGACAGAACAAAGCTGAAGATATCATGTTACCTGACTTCAAACTACTACATGGCTACCATAACCAAAACAGCATGGTATTGGTACAAAAACTGATATATAGACAAATAGAACAGGTTAGAGAACCCAGAAATAGGCCCACAGACCCACAAACATCTCATCTTTGACACAGCCAACAAAAACAAGGAATGGGGAAAAGACTCCATATTCAATAAATGGTGCTAGAATAACTGACTAGCCATAGGCAGAAGACTGAAGCTGGAAGATTGAATCTTCCTTACACCGTATAAAAAATTAACTCAAGATGGATTAAAGACTTAAATGTAAAACCTAAAACTATAAAAATCCTGGAAGACAACCTAGACAATACTATTCTGAACATAAGAATGAGCAAAGATTTCATGATAAAAATGCCAAAAGCAATTGCAAAAATTGATAAATGGGATCTAATTAAAAGAGCGAGCTTCTGTACAGCAAAAGAAACTATCAACAGGGTAAACAGATAACCTACAGAATGAGAGAAAATATTTGCAAACTATGCATCCAACAAAGGTCTAATATCCAATATCTACAAGGAACGTAAATTAACAAGCAAAAGACAAACAATCCCATTAGGAAGTGGGCAAAGGACATGAACAGACACTTTTCAAAACAAGATACACTGTGACCAAAAAGCATATGAAAAAAAGGTCAACATCACTGATCATTAGAGAAATGAAAATCAAAACCACAATGAGATACCATCTCACATCAGTCAGAATGGCTATTACTAAAAAGTCAAAAAATAACAGATGCTAGTGAGGTTACGGAGAAAAAGGCACACTTATACACTGCTGGTGGGACTGTAAATTAGTTCAACCATTTGTGGAAAGCAGTGTGGCAATTCCTTAAAGAGCTAAAAAAAAACTACCACTCGACCCAGCAATTCTACTACTGGGTATATACCCAAAGGAATATAAATCATTCTATTATAAAGACACATGCACACATATGCTCACTGCAGCACTATTCACAATAGCAAAGATATGGAGTCAACCTAAATCCCATCATTGGTAGACTGGACAATGAAAATGTGGTACATATACATTATGGAATACTATGCAGCCATAAAAAAAGAATGAGACTATCTTCTTTGCAGGAACATGGGTGAAAGCCATTATCTTTAGCAAACTAGCACACCAACAGAAAATCAAATATTGCATGTTCTCACTTATAAGTGGGAGCTAATTGATGAGAACAGATGAACACATAGAGAGGAACAACAGATACTGGGGCCTACCTGAGGGTAGAGGGTGGGAGGAGAGAGAAAATCTGTAGAAATAACTAATAAGTTCCAGGCTTATAACTTGGGTGATGAAATAATCCGTACAACAAACCCACATGACCTGAGTTTACCTATATAACAAACCTGCATATGTACTCCTGAACTTAAAATAAAAGTTAAGAAATATAAAAAAAGTTTTAAAAATTAAAAAAAAAAGAAATATAGGATTGAGCAACGCTATAAACCATCTAAACCTAACAGACATCTATAGAACACCTATCCATCAAAAGCAGAACATACATTCTTCTCTAGCACGCATGAAACTTCTCCAGGATAGATCATATAGTTAGCTATAAAACAAACCTCAATAATTTTAAAGAAATTTAAAATTTAGAAATAATACAAAGTATGTTTTCCAACTACAATGGAATGAAACTAGAAATCAGTAACCAAAAACATTGGAAAACTTACAAATACGTGTTAAATATGTGAGATGAATGAAAATAAAGATCCAACAGAACAAAACTTACGGGATTAGCTAAAGCAGTGAAAAGGGAAAAATTTATAGCTGTAAATGCATATATAAAGAAAAAGTGAGATCTCAAACCAATAACCTATCAACCTTAAGACACTGGAAAAGGAAGAGCAAAATAAACCTAAAGCAAGCAGAAGGAAGGAAATAATAAAGCTTAGAGCAAAAAGTAAATGAAATCAAAAATAGAAAAACAATAGAGAAAATAAAGGAAACCAAAGGTGTTCTTTGAAAAGATTAACAAAATTAACAAAACTTTAGCTAGATTGACCACGAACAAAAGAGAGAAGACTCAAATTAGTAGGATCATATATAAGTTAGGACATCACTACTAAGTTGAAAGAAGTAAAAAAAGATTATACAGGAATGCTATAAACAATTGTATATCAATATATTATATACATTAGATGAAAGGGAAAAACTCCTAGAAAGCTACACACTACCAAAACCAACTCAAGAAGTAATAGATAATCTGAACAGACCTATAACAAGTAAAAGATTGAATTAGTAATCAAGAAACGACCCACAAAGGCCAGGTCCAGATGGCTTCACAGTTGAATTCCACTAAATATTTAAAGAAGTTAATACTAATTCCTCACACTCGTTACAAAAAGAGAAGAAAACACTTCCCGATTCATTTTAGGACAGTATTACTCTGACACCAAAATCAGATAAACATATCACCAGAAAACTATAGAGCAATATCTCTTAGGAATATGAACACAAAATCCTCAATGAAATACAAGCAAACCAAAAGCATCAATATAGAAAACGAATTATAAATCATGATAGTGAGATTAATGTCAGGGATACAAGGTTGGTTCGGCATTAGAAAACCAACTGATAGACTACATCATATCAATAGAATTTAAAAAACAAATCACATGATCAGCTCAACAGATGCAGAAAAAAGAACTGGAAAAAATCCAATACTCTTTTGTAATAAAAACATTCAACAAAGTAGCTCTTGAAGGGATCTTCCACAATGTGATCAAGGGTATCTGTGAAAAATCCACAGCTGGCCAGGCACGGTGGTTCATGCTTGTAATCCCAGCACTTTGGGAGGCCAAGGCAAATGCATCATGAGGTCAGGAATTTGAGACCAGCCTGGCCAAGATGGTGAAACCCCACCTCTACTAAAAATACAAAAACTAGCTGGGTGCAGTGGCAGGCACCTCTAATCCCAGCTACTCAGGAGGTTGAGGCAGGAGAACCGCTTGAACCCAGGAGGCAAGGTGGAGGTTGCCGAGAGCCAAGATCATGCCACTCTCTAGCCTGGATGACAGGGCAAGACTCCGTCTCAAAAAAAAAAAAAAAAGAAGAAGAAAAATCTGCAGCTAACATACATAGCAGTATTTCATAATGGTGAAAAACTGGATACTTAACCCACTAAGATTAGAAATAAGAAAAAATAAGTCTGCGCTCACCACTTCTATTCAACACTGTACTGTAGGTTCTAGGCAGGGCAGTTAGGCAAAAGCCAAAAAAAAAAAAAAAAAAAAAAAAGAAATATAAGGCATCTAGATTAAAAAGCAGTAAAACTACATATAAAAAAAACCATTAGAAGTGACAAGTTGAGCAAGGTTACAGGATAGAAGATCAATATACAAAAATCAATTGTATTTCTATAACTAGCAATGAAAAATCTGAAAATGTCCATCAGTGATAGACTGGATTAAGAAAATGTGGCACATATACACCATGGAATACTATGCAGCCATAAAAAGGATGAGTTCATGTCCTTTGCAGGGACATAGATGAAGCTAGAAACCATCATTCTCAGCAAACTATGACAAGGACAGAAAACCAAACACTGCATGTTCTCACTCACAGGTGGGAATTGAACAATGAGATCACTTGGACACAGGGCGGGGAACATCACACATGGGAGCCTGTCGGGGGCTGGGGGGCTGGGGGAGGGACAGCATTAGGAGAAGTACCTAAGGTAAATGAAGAGTTGATGGGTGCAGCAAACCAACATGGCACATGTATACCTATGTATCAAACCTACACGTTGTGCACATGTACCCTAGAACTTAAAAGTATTAAAAAAAATTCCATTTACAATAGCATCAAAAACATTATGTATTAGTCAGGGATCTCTAGAGGAACAGGACTAATAGGATAGATGTATACATGACAGGAAGTTTATTAAGGCGTATTGACTCACACGATCACAAGGTGAAGTCCCACAAAAGGCCGTCTGCAAGCTGAGAGCAAGGAAGCCAGTCCGAGTCCCAAAACCTCAAAAGTAGGGAAGCTGACAGGGCAGCCTTCAATCTGTGGCAGAAGGCCCAGGAGCCCCTGGCAAGCCACTGGTGTAAATCCAAGAGTCCAAAAGCTGAAGAACTTAAGAGTCCGATGTTCAAGGGCAAGAAGCATCCAGGAAGGGGGTGGGGGGAGATGAATGCCAGAAGACTCAGCCAGTCTAGTCTTTCCATATTCTTCTGCCTGCTTTATTCTAGCCATGCTGGCAGCTGATTAGATTGCACCCACCCCGACTGAGGGTGGGTCTACCTCTCCCAGTCCACTGACTCAAATTTTAATTTCCTTTGGCAACACCCTCACAGACACACCCAGGAACAGTATTTTGCATCCTTCAATCCAATCAAGTTTACACTCAATATTAACAATAATACATTACTGGGAAAAAAAAATCAAACAAAGGAAGTATAAGAGTTCTACACTAAAAACTACAAATATTGCTGAAAGAAATTTTAGAAGATCTACATAAATGGAAAAAACAGTCATCTTCATGAATCAGAAGACTAGAACCAGAAGACTACTGCTAGGATCATAATAAACCCCAATTTGCTCTACAGATTAAATCCAATTCCTATCAAAATCCCAGGTGACTTCTTCATAGAAATTAACAGGCTGATTCTAAAAATCAGATGGAATAGCAGAAAACTCAGAATAGTCAAAATAAACTTGAAGAGAACAAAGTTTAAGACTCACACTTTCATACTTCTAACTTACTACACAGCAACAGTAATTAAAAGAGTGTAGTACCAGCATGAGGATACACAGACAAATCAACAGAATAGAGAGTCCAGAAATAAACCCAAGCATCTATGGTCAACCAATTTTTTAAAAGAATGCCAAGACTATTTAAAGGGAAAAGAAGAGACTTTTCAATAAATGATGATGGGACAACTGGCCAGTGATGTACAAAAAATTAAGCTGCACCTTTACTGCATACCATATAAAAAATCAACTCAAATGAATAAATGACCTAAATGTAAGAGCTAAAATGATAAAACTCTCAGAAGAAAACATAGGAATAAATCTTTACAGATGTAGATATGGTAAAAAAAAATTCCTAACTATGACATCAACAGAATGAGCAACAAAAGAAAACAGATAATTTAGATTTCATCAAAATAAACAAACTATTTGTGCTTTAAAGGATACCACCATGAAAGTGAAAAGGTAACCCACAGAATAGGAAAAAAAAAATCATGTATCTATCTGATAAGGGGTGTGCATCCAAAATATACAATGAACTCTTATAACTCAGTAATAAAAAGAAAACCCAATATAAAAATGAGCAAATGATCTGAATTTCTGCATGGACTATACACGAATGACCAATAACCAGGATGAAACTCAACATTAGTCATCAGAGAAAGGCAAATCAAAATCACAATGAGATACTACTTAACACCCACTAGAAAGGCTATAAAAATGGAAAATAGCAAGTTTTGGCAAGGATGTGGAGAAAACAGTTTGCTGTTTCCTCAATAAGTTGTATTGTTGTTGTTGTTTTGTTTTGTTTTTTAAGTTGGGGTTTTGATCTGTCACCCAGGCTGGAGTACAGTGGTACAATCATGGCTCACTACAGCCTGGAATTCCTGGGCTCCTGCCTCAGCCTCCCAAGTAGCTGGGACTATAGGTGCAAACGAACACACTCAGCTAATTATTTTTTTTGTGGAGACAAGATCTCACTAGGTTGCCCAGTTGAGTCTCAAACTCCTGGCCTCAAGCAACCCTCCTGTCTCAGCCTCGCAAAGCGCTGGGATTATAGGCATGAGCCACCATGTGCAGCCTCAACAAATTAGACATAGAATCACTATATGGCCCAATAATTCCCTCTAGGTATACACCTAAGAGAACTGAAATACGTGTCCAATCAAAAACATGTGCACAAGTTTGGTTATTCATAAAAACCAAAAAATAGAAACCCAAATGTTCATCAAATGATGAACTGATAAATGAAATGTGATATATGAACAAAATGGAATATTATTCAGCTATAAAAAAAAAATGAAGTAGTAGGCAGGGCGTGGTCATTCACGCCTATAATCTCAGCACTTTGGGAGGCTGAGGTGGGTGGATCACAAGGTCAGGAGTTCGAGGCCAGCCTGGCTGACATGGTGAAACCCTGTCTCTACTAAAAATACAAAAGTTAGCTGGGCGTGGTGGCACGAGCCTGTAATCCCAGCTACTCAGAAGGCTGAGGCAAGAGAACTGCTTGAACCCAGGAGGCGGAGGTTGTAGTAAGCCAAGATTGTGCCACTGTACCCCAGCCTGGATGACAGAGCGAGACTCCGACTCACCAAAAAAAATAAAAAAATAAAAAAATGAAGTAATAAACAACATGAATGAACTATGAAAACGTTTTGCTAAGTAAAAAAAACAGTCAAGAAAGACCATATTAGATGATTCCATTTGTACAAAGTGTCCAAAATGGAGAAATCTCCAGACACAGAAAGTAGATAATTGGTTCACTAAGGGTGGAGGGGGTAGGGAGAAGGAGAATGGAAGATGGTAGTTAAAGGTCAAAGATTTCTTTTTGAGGTGATGAAAATGCTCTAAAATTGACTGTGGTAATGACTGCCCTCATCTGTTAATATACTAAAAACAATCATTGATACACTTTCAATGGATGTCTTGTATGTTATGTGAACTATGAATCAATTAAGCTATGCTTTAAAGCTTACAAACCAAAATGACTTACAATAGAAAATGTAACAAACAAACAAAAATGCCAGGCGCAGTGGCTCACGCCTGTAATCCCAACATTTTGGGAGGCTGAGGCAGGCAGATCACTTGAGCTCAGGAGTTCGAGACCAACCTGGGCAACAAAGTAAGACTCCATCTCTTCAAAAAATACAAAAATTAGCCAGCCATGGTGGCATATGCCTGTGGTCCCAACTACTCAGGAGGTTGAGGTGGGAGGATGGCTTGAGCCTGGAAGACAGAGGTTGCAGTGATCCAAGATCGCGCCACTGCACTCCAGCCTGGGCGACGAGCAAGACTCCGTCTCCAAAAAAAAAAAAAAAAAAGATTAAATATAATTTTCCCTAAAAGCATTTTGAATGAGTGTCTTGAATTGCTGTGAGTGAGATACAACCTCTGTGCTTAAGGTTAAGACCGGTACTAAAGAACCTTGAAAATTCAAATAGATAACTACAATACATACCTACATAGTTACTTTCTCCCACCTGACTTGAAACAAATAGGAAATGCTCTCTATATACAGCATGAACTGTCCTTTAAATCCTATCAACTCCCAAAAAATTTGTTAGTTCTGAAAATGAGACCATTTCTTCCATAAGAAAATAATTTATCATGGCAGAGATATCCTTACATATCTTAGCTATTCAATCCAAAATGCAATGTTCATACATGATAAGTTCTAGTTAGAAATGTTTAACCCAATATATACTTCTAGGAAACCACCAGTATATTTGGAAGATAACTTCTAGTGCCAAGTCCCAAGCATAGGATCACCACACAAAAAAGCACATTATTTTTTAAAAATAACACACCTAAGACCTAGCAAAAGAGATAAAAAGAGTGCTTTGCTCTTAATAGGATTTCCGTAACTCCAAGATGATCCCATCAGAATTCTGAGATCAGCTGCCATTAGATTTAAAGAAATCCCAAAATTATGCTTCCCATAACATTTGCCATTTTCATCCACATTGAGAACAGGTGCTGTTCTCACTCAAGATTTGCACTACAAACTAATTTGGCAGTCAGAGTGACTGTTCATAAAAGTACAGCTGTCTGGATCACTGCTCTACGCACAGATACAAGTTCCTGAAGTTATCAAATTAAAAACACAACAACAACAACAAAAAAAACAGCGAGGAAGAAGTTAGCTGCGGGTATAGAAACAGACTTCTACTAAAGAGATTTTTAAAACAAAACATGAACGAATGCAGCTCTCCAACAATGAAAAGGCAAGTTTCACTATTCTGGCAATAAACTAAAGATATGAGATTTAAGGGAGACACAGTAGGTATGGACGGGCAACATGCTTTTCCTGGTAGAAATTTTTAAAGTCATTATTATCTGTTAAGGTCTTATCCAATAGACAAAGGTGCTTACAGTTATTCTTATTAATATAAAGCCTTATTCTTAAAATTAAATTTTTTAAGTAGTTTTTCATAAAATTCATGAATAGAAACAGTCAAAAAATCAACCAAAAGACTCAGTTGTTGAGATGCCAAAAAAATTATTTCAGGGCATGCACAAACTAAAACAGCATTACTTCCTTTTTTCTTGACAATACAACACATTTAATAAACAAATGCAGCTTTGAATCTCTCAAGAAAGGTAATCCTCATTTTCCACATACACAGAATTATATCACTGTTATTCCAACAGGAACAATGCTATAGTGTATGTTAAATTCCCAATACAATATCAAATGAATCACAGATATCACCACAAATACAAAATTAGAAGTAATGTTAAGCTTTTTAAATAATATACCATGGAAAATTACATTATAAATCCTATAAAAATCGGCTTAAAAAAGATATAATGAGCCTAAATATGAACCATAAATCTACAAACTGGGTTATGCAGAGGTAAACTGAGGGTTTGTGAAACCAAAGAATAAATATGACAAACCTAATTAGATTATGGGTTTACTTAAAGATGCAGAAGCAAAATATTATATCCAAGTAAAACACAATTCTTGCTATGTTATTGTGCTATTTGAACCCTGCTTCTCTGACTACAGTGTTTAAGAAATAATTAAGTAAGCACTAAAACAGGCTTTAAAGCAAATAAAACTTACAAAAGTTTTGTCAGTTCCATTCTGTTTCCATCTAGTGACTACTAGAGAATTCATTAAAAGTCAAAAATAAGTCTACTTGGAGTTCCAAAAGACCTCATTCAAATGAGAAACCAACTACTTTCCACATAAATAGTCAACATTCTGAAAAATAGCTGATGATGCACAGTAGGCAGAATATCTTGATGTGAATGAGACATCCTTATCGCTTCTCAGCCTTTTGGCTAAGATCAAGAACCCTTTCGAATTAGAATACGGTCAGGCAGATTATGGAATTAATGTCAATATTGAGATCAGCCACTAAAGTTATTATTCAAGGATTGTTCATCGCTCTCCCCTGTTCAATAATTTTATCAGTGATATATAAACTAGAAGACATATTAAATAAAATAAATTAAGAGTATTAATATGGTACATGATAATATCAATACTTTCAAACTTTGTAAATAATCTGATATAATTTAAGAAGTATTAGAGGTAAATATAAAACTCTGCAATTAGATTTAAAAACTCATGTGTACTTGCATAAATAAGATGGAGAAAACTGGTACCATAAATACATTACATGAAAGCCTTGAAGGGTAAAGGATTAGTTTTTTGTTTCTTTTTGGTTTTTTTGCAAGCTTAATGTGAATAAAAAATACAATAAAGGCCAGGAAAAAATTTAATATCTCAATAGTAATACAGTATGTTAAACACCCCATGTACCATTCCAAAGGATGCTACAATGATTGAACCATATTTATTGAGTTTTGAATTAAATTATAATCTATACTGTTTAAGAAGACTACAATGAAAAATTGAAATACATTCTGAAAAAAGTAACCAGGATAGTGAAGAGCCTGTTTATAGGATATGTTTTTCAAGCTTGTCCAACCCGTGGCCTGTGGGCCGCATGTGGCCTAGGACAGTTTTGAATGAGTCCCAACACAAATTAGTAAACTTTCTTAAAACACTATGAGATTCTTTTGTGATTTTTTTTTTTTTTTTTTTAGCCCATCGGCTAAAAAAGCAGATAATGTCAAGTAATATTCTAGGGATGCTACTCAAGTTTTTTTTCCCTAGGTAAAAATGCAACAACTTCTTACTACTACTCTTATAACTTGGTTTCTAATGATTCTTCATCTAAGTTCCTTTAGAAATGTCCCTTTTACGGAGCCTCTTAAAAAATCGCATTCAGTCTCATAGGCTTCCCCTTGTGGGTAACCCCACCTTTCTCTCTGGCTGCCTTTAACAGTTTTTCCATCATTTCAACCTTGGTGAACCTGATGATTATGTGTCTTGAGGTTGCTCTTCTTGAGGAGTATCTTGTGGTGTTCTCTGTATTTCCTGAATTTGAATGTTGGCCTGTCTTGCTAGGTTGGGGAAGTTCTCCTGGATAATATCCTGAAGAGTGTTATCCAACTTGGTTCCATTCTCCCCGTCACTTTCAGGTACACCAATCAAATGTAGATTTGGTATTTTCACATAGTCCCATATTTCTTGGAGGCTTTGTTTGTTCCTTTTTATTCTTTTTTCTCTAATCTTGTCTTCTCACTTTATTTCATTAAGTTAATCTTCAATCTCTGATATTCTTTCTTCTGCTTGATTGACTCGGCTATTGATACTTGTGCATTCATAATTGAACATAGTATTTCAAATATAATTTGATCAGCACAGATCACAAAGATTATTACCAACCTTGGATTAGTATTAAGCTTCTCTGAACACAGCACAAAATGGTAATGACAACAAAATGCTGACTACAAACTCAATATGCAGTCAAACAAAAGCCTTTGGTTTTAATTTTTTTTCCACATGAACTTCTTTTAGGCTAAGTCTCCCACAAACTGTACTTTTTTTTTCATTTTTTGAGACAGTCTCCCTCTATCACCCAGGATGGAGTGCAGTGGCGTGATCTTGGCTCACCGCAACCTCTGCCTCCCGGATTCAAGCAATTCTCCTGCCTTAGCCTCCTGAGTAGCTGGGACTACAGGTGCCCACCACCACGCCCGGCTAATTTTTTGTATTTTTAGTAGAGACGGGGTTTCACCATATTGGCCAGGCTGGTCTCAAACTCCTGACCTTGTGATCTGCCTGCCTCGGCCTCCCAAAGTGCTGGTATTACAGGCGTGAGCCACTGCACCTGGCCAAACTGTACTTTACATAATATTTTTTAAGTCTAAATGGATCCTTATACAGTTCACTTTTGTACTGTTTCCTCATTTTAGTCTTTTGGAAGCTTTCTAAGTCCACATTATGTCATCCATCATATCTGTAATACTATCAATGTTGAATCTGACCCTCACAAGTTTTAGAACCACACCTTTATGCAGATTACTAATTGAACTGCTGAAGACAGAACCAAATTTAAAAACTGCAGGATAAAGAATGAAGGCCTGCTCCCACACTGGCAATGAATCAACATTCAGAGTAAGGTTTTTCAATAAAACTGCAGGATAAAGAATGAAGACCTGCTCCCAAACAGGCAATGAACCAAAATTCAGAGTAAGGTTTTTTCAATCAACTACTAATTCCATCTAAACTGTATTTTACCAGTCTACATTTCTCTTTCTTCTGTCATTTAGATACTTCCTAATATTGTAGCTGCCAGCCACATGAGGCTACTTACATTCTACATAATTAAAATTAAATAAAATTTAAAATACAATTTCTAAGTTACATTAGCCACATTTTAAGTAATCAACAGCCATATGTGGCTACTGTCTACCATGTTGGAGAGCAAATACAGAATACATCAATCATCACAAAAAGATGGCATTAGTCTGGATTCTACTGTAAAATGGTCCGCTCAGATTTAGATGGAATATGTTTATATCACACCATTTATCTGTCTAGTTGTATCATACTTACTACCAATTAGTTTTCAGAAGTCCACAGTTTACACTGGGGTTCACATTTTGTGTTTTACATTCTACAAGTTTTAACAAATATATAACTATTATAATGACAAGTAACCACCATTACAGTATCATTCAGAATCATTTCAGTATCACTCATTACCCTTAAAATCCTGTGTTCTACCTATTCCACCCTTTCTCCCTTTCCCCAAATCCCTGGAAACCATTTATTTTTTCATTGTCTCCATAGTTTTTGCCTTTTGCAGAAGGTCAAACAGTTGGAATCACAGAATATGTAGCCTTTTTAGATTGGCTTCTTATACCCAACAATTTTCATTTAAGGTTCTTGTAATTTTTTGTGGCTTGATAGCTCATTTCTTTTTATCACTGAATCATATTCTATTAGATGCATTCACCACAGTGTTTACCCATTTACCTAATGAAGGATATCTCAGCTGCTTCCAAGTTTTGGCAATTAAGTCTTTTTTTATTTCAATAAATTTTGCCCTTTATAAATACTATAATGTCCAAAAAACAAGCAAACAAATCCTATACAGACAAATGCTAACAGGATACTACTATATTGTACACTTTTCATTTTTCCTTTTTATGTTTTCCAACTCTAAAATTATAAACATATTAATCACAGAAAATTTTTTATTTTCAAACAATACAAACCAGATTTTATCATTTTTTTCACTTTGTGTCTACTAAGCATACACCATTAATTTAACAAAATGGATTTTCACATTTACCCTATTTAGAATGAACAACAAAAATTTTAAACAAAAATCCATTATCATGTAGACAAAGGCAGCTCAAAACTAATATACAAGGACTGATATTAAACAACTTAAACTTTATTTCCTTTCAAACTTATTTCTCATAAGAAAAATGTTTTTGTCAAACACAATTTAACCACTTGGATATCATGCTGACACACAGTATTTTCTAAAAAAAAAAAAAAAACGAAAAAAAGCTTAACACTGAAAAAACAATTTAGTAACTCATATTAATAATTATTTCATAATAGCAACAAAACAAATATTTAACAATGCAATCATTTTAGTTTAGCAAATTATTTAGCCTAATATGTAACTGGAACTAGTTAAGAGGAAATGGGGATAAAAAAAGTACAAGGTATCTATTACAGTAGTTCCCCTTTATCCGATAGAAATGGGGATAAAAAAAGTACAAGGTATCTATTGTAGTAGTTCCCCTTTATC